>NC_000006.12:61701291-62004321 GCF_000001405.40 Homo sapiens
AGTGGCTTTTTCTGATTTCTGTGTTAGTTCTATAATTTAAATTGATAGAAGGTTCAAAAATTTGAGGCTTAACAGGATACAGTGAAGCTAGTTACTTCTCTATTTCAATCGCAAGAGATAATATACAGTGCTCAAAGATGTCCTCACATCTTTCCATTGGACTTTGCTACCATATATGACCCCTAGAACAATCCTTAGGCTTCCAAACATACACCAGAAGAAAGCATGCTGCAAAAATTGTAAAGTTCCCAAGGAGGGCATACTCTACTTTACTGGATTAAGATACGGCCATGGATAAGTCCATTTATCCACTGGGATAAAGAAGACCCTTCCAGGGTATCTGGCTTAACTCCCAGAAAAGAGAACTGAGGTTGCCAGATGCGCTTATTAAAAAGACAAAACAAAACAAAACAAAACAAAACATTTCACTGCTGTTTCTAGGTGCCTTTACCTCTTGGCAGGATTTTATAACTGTTATTGCCCACTGAGTCTTATGTGTTTTCTTCTGTTTTTCTAATGATAGTTTCTATTGCAGTTATTCTGTTCCCCTTTGACCATTTTACATTGTGTGTTTTGTATGGGGTAGAAGGTTGAGAATAAGAAAGATAATCTAACATTTTTCAGGTTGCCAAATTGTAAAGAACTACACCAATACTTAATGTGGAGATGTGCATATTTTCTAGAGGTCCTGGATTTTGGACTGGTTGCAGTAATTGGAATGAAACTTAGATTTTCTTTGTTGGGAAGAAAGTAGGTATTTTTTTTTTAACAGAAAGAAAGATAATCACTCACATGTGGATGACTAGAGCATTGGGCTATAGAAGACTTCTCGTTGTTCCCCTCTACAACCAATCTGTCCCTTATTCCATAAGAGATACTGATCAGCTCAAGACTACATTTTCTAGTCTCCTTTACCTTTGAGTGTCTATGTGCAGAGTGATGTTACTAATTTTTTACGACTTGTTTATCCTCTATTTCCTTTCAGTTTTCATGTAACTGGCTGGAAATGGCAATGGCTAGAGTAACTTTGGACTCATGTTAATGATGGCTTCTCACTAGCCTGGATCAGTGAATGATGCCATGGAGCAGAGCCCACCTACCTGCCCTAGCCTATTATGTAGGAGAGATAAACTTTTCTCTTGTTTGAGCCACTGAATTGTGAGACATCCTTATTATGGAAGCTTAGTCCATATCCCAAATAATATAGTTGGCAATTAATACAATCCCCTGAAGACTAACAGACATTCAGTAACATTTGTCGAATGAATGAATAAATGTTTTAATTTTAAAGACTGAAACTAGAGATCATTGTATTTGAACATGAATAATCTTAGAACATTTTAAAGGAAATTTGTTTATAGAACTTTGTGTATGCTTTAGCGGGATGTCCACTTATATTGACAGCAATTGGAACAGTAAAACAAAAACAACTCATGTCTTTTCTGATAAAAATAAAATTCAAATAAAAAGTAATATATTAATCTGCTATTGGCTCCTGCCTCCTTCACTCCACTTATTTACGTATTAATCTATTTCATTATTTTTAGTGTCTAAGGTCTAGAAGTCAAAAAGCCAAAATCGTGTGTAGAATTTTACTAATAATTAGATATATTTTGAGTCAATGCAGCTAACATTATATATCTTGATTTTAAGTATGTGCCACTTCCTAGAAAAATTATACCTGCTATAACCACCGAAGTAATTAAGTTCCAAATCACTGATAATTGCCATAATTTTAATTAAAATCTCTGTAATTGTAACAATGTGTTTAGAAACCTTAATCACTATATTTCTAGAATATAAAATAGAATAATAGTGAATTAAAAATTAAATAACCAGGTTGTATTTATATAAAATCCATTTGTCTACATTTATTCCTATTTCAACATGATTAAAGAACATGATAAATGAAACAAATGTAATAAAAATAGCAGCTTTCTGAAATAATGAAAAGTATACAGCCAACTTTTGCCAGTCAATGTCACATATTTTAAAAATTCATTTTATTATTTTATTGCATATATTTATGGTTTAAACACGAGCTTTTGATATACATGGTGAAATGGTTACTATAATCAAGCCAATTAACTTATGTTAAAAATATTATGAAATAACAATATGAAAATTATATGTGAGGGATATATATCTAACTATTTTTAGCATTTAAGGGGGTATTCTTAAATTTTGTTCTCATCAGCATTTACACTGAAACCTTATTATACTGTGCATTTATATTGTATTGATAGAGATATTAGTCAAGCAAAGATAAATTTTCAGCCAGGTCCCCATCCTCAAATTGCAAATTGATAGTGCCTTTATTTTTATATCCACTTATGTGTCTATCAAATTATTCTATTAAGCTTCCTAAAGCTCCAAGAAAGTGCTATTTAAAAAACATTAAAACTACTGTGTAGATGAATGAGTATAACACACATGTAGATATATCAACTCTCACCACCAACCAGAACCCCCTCTTAATGTCATTCATGGTATTCACTAAACACTGATAGATTGAAGGAATGGGAAACCTTTCACCAAATAGCTCAAGACTCCACAACTTCCATCCACATCTCAGTACTGTTGTATTATCTGCTAATTCTGATGGTTATCCTGAATCTTCCCTTGGAGGAGAACATCTATGATTCCCAGTGCTGAAGGTGAAGTTAACCAACAGTTCAACTTTATGCCTATGGTGGGAAACCTATACCTATGGAATGCTTATGTTGGAAAACCTATTTGCAGGTAGGTTTTAAAGATGATTTTCATTTGTCTATTCCTTCTAGACAAAGTCTTACCTTCCCATAGAAACTAGCTGCATGTGTCTTTCCCACCTTCACCTATCCCAACACATTCTTTCATTTTCATTATCCCTAACTATACAAAGTAATAATATAACAACCATAAAACAAAAACAAATGCCTAGTAGCTACATATACATACATTCAGTCTGTTTTTTAAAACACTAAACAACAAATAAATGGGGCTGAAAAAGGCTTCACGGAAATTACAGTCTAATAGAAAAACCATTAAACAAGTGTTAAGGAGTCATTAATTCATTCTTTTTGTTGTTGTTGTTTTTCATCGTATATGGAAACCCTAAAAATAAGTAGGAATTTCCTGGGTAAGATGGAATGAAGAAGCCTTATGGTAGGGGGTCAGCACCAACCAAGTCCCAGAGGCAAGAAAATGTGTGCCATTAGCAGCTACTTTGCTGGAGTGACCGCGTATCAGTATTAGGGAGAGAGGGGCTCAATATTCAATCTTGAGACATATACAGGGACCAAATCTTGAAGGACCTTGTCTTAACATGGTAAGCAGTTTGGATTTTATATTAGGAGCCATTGAAGACAATGAAGGATTTAAGAGGGAAGCATGATTATATTTTGGCTTAAACAGGTCACTCTGCGGGCAGTGTCTTTCCTTTTTGATGCCTTATCATCAACACCTGGCACATTATTCAACACATAGTAGTGCTCTACAAATATTTATTGTGTAAATAAATGTATAAGCAAATCATTGTAGTATGAATAATTTTCACAATTGATCTCTGCTTTGTGTTTTTACACCTATATTTCCTTTATATCCATGAACTTGGGCTTTTTTGTTAAATTAAAACGTGAGAAAATTGACATATTAAGATAAATGATTTGTAAACACAATTTATAATATCTCAGGTCATTAGATGCTACATTTAGGATCCATAATTAAAACTGCTAAATGTAGTTTTTATACAACTTTGCAGGATAATTCTGGGCTAACTTCACTCATCAACTCAAAAGCATTTTGAAAGGTTTGTAAAATCTGATATTTTGGAGGCCCAAACTCAAATGCATAGATTATTAAGAAGCAGGATTTGCTTAATTCTCTTTTTGCCAAAATTTTAATAACATCTGCAGTGAAAGAGAACCTATATCCATTATATGCTAATTCCTAATTGATTTTACTCTTTCCGACTCCCTACCCCTCTACCAACTGATTTCTGAATTTTAAAATAAGAGGGGGCCTTAAACAACAAATTAAGTAATCTGTATCTTTAACATTCTTCTACTTCTTCTCCCCTCCAAGAAACAAAAATAACCATAAAAAATATATATTTAATGCTTCTCTGGCACTTGGTACACACCAAACACTGCTAAGAGGTTTACATAACCTTTCTTATTTAATTGCCACAATTTTTGAATGATAGTATTAGCCCAAGACCAGAAAAGAAAATTTATTTTTAGCTAATTAAGTTACTTGTCCTAAACTAATCCAGCTTTGCAATTCATCCAGTCCATAATATGCATCCAAAATAGTCACTCTCATTTGTATTTGCATAATACCAGACTTAAAAAATGGGTAACTATTTACAGTATGATCTTGAGCTGATTGAGATTAGGAATATTAGATGAGCTGTGAGCTCCTCTCTACATTTAACTGTCCTGCTCTTCCTTCTCAGAAAAATCTCAGCTACCATCAAGAACAAGGTCCTGCCCCAAGCACACATGCTTCTCAGCACCCTCTCAATCCCTTTCAATTTTTTCCTCCTCTGGGAAGCTTTCTCAGATACCCAATAACCCTACAATGCCTACAATGCTATACACCTCCTATAAATAACATGGTATTGTTGAAAATCCATCTTTATATGTGCTATTATTTGCTTATCTGTCTTCCCTACTAAAATGTGATTTTCATGAGGTCAGGGCTATTTGCATCATCATTGTATTCCCAGGGGGCAACCCAGTGCCTGACACATAGTAAATGGAATATTGGCCAAATGAATAAACTGAAGTATTGGAACTTCTGTGCTTTATATTCATTCCAACTCTAAACAGCTACCTCCTAACCTGCAATCCTCATCCAACAACTCATTGCATCACCATTGATCACCACCCAGCCCTCCCTGTGTACTCTCCCTTTCACTACGCTTTCTACTTCGGGACCCTCATGCGATCTTATGCCACTGATCAATCACCTTAGCATTCAGTTCTATCTGGAACAAGCTACATAATTTCCTTTACCACTTTCCTTGACTCTTCCACAACTTCAATAAGAGTCAACTGTCTGACTATATTTAAGAAATGAGTGGGAGAACCTAAAGGTTTTGAGAAGTTTGTATCTAGAAAAGTAGACTTGGCTATTAGACAGCTCCTAAGTGATAAGGAAAAGATGCTACTCAGAGAGGATAAGACATGGGCTGAGAGATTTAGATAAGAAGACTGGAAACTATGCCAGGTAATGAGGCTTGGGTTTAAGGTATGGAAATTTGAGATCATTCTCTTTTACTACTTCTCATGGGATTGAGGACCAAAGCCTTTGCCTTCTATTTACCTAGACAATTGTGATCACATAAAAATCATTACATAATTCAATAAGTATTTAGAGTACCAGTACTATTCTGGGAATACGAAGTGGAAAAGATATATTAACATACCACTTAGATATGTTGGAATAAAATATATAAATGTTGCAAGGTATGCATGAACAGAATAATATTGTGAATGTTTTCAACCTACTTTATCTCAGTTTATGTGACAAAATTTATTTATAACCTATTATGTGCCAGACATTATTCAAAGTGTTAGGAAATACACAGTGAACAAAATAGGCAAAGATTATTTGCCCTCATGGAGTTCACAAGTAAAATACTATACAAGTAAAAAACAAAAACAAAAACAAAAACAAAAACAAAACAGTTATAAGTGCTAAGGAGAAAAGACTAAATCTGGAAGGGGGAACATTAAGTTTTGGGATAAAGGTAAAATTATAGTTAAAGTGGTTGGGAAAGTCTTTACAGATGACATTACACTGAAAAAAGACCTGAAGGAGTTAAAGGAGTAATCTTTGGAAATTCAGAGGAAGAGCATTCTAGGAAAAAAGAATAGAAAACATAAAGGCATTGAGGGAGGGGTGTACTTAGGATAGTCAAGGAATGGCAAGAGCCAGAGTGTCAGGGCAGAGGAAGCAAGAGAGAGTTGCAGATGAGGTGGGGGATCAAGGATTCTACTCCATGTCCACCCCTAAGTGCAGTCTTTCCCAAAGTTGTATCATGAACTCACTTGGCTGTCTATCTTCTTCATCTTTGCCATCAGGTCCATTCCTAAGCCTTCATTGACCACAAACTCTGTAAGTTCTATAAAGAAATTTCCAATATAAAAATAGAAGTTGTAACATTAGCATCAAAGTGGCATGACTGTTTAAAAATATTGGGTTTAATTCTGTTAAGGTTAAAAATATACATTTTCCATTCAAATGCTAAAAGCCAATTATTTTAGTTAAATGCAAAATTACAGTGATTTGGGAAAACATTAGTTTATTTGAAAGTAACCACATTCAAGCAAGCTTGAATTTTGATAACTAAATTAAATAAATGAGTAGTAGTCTCCGAATCCGGTCATGATTAACACTATCAATACTACAAGCTAGTATTAATACTAATACTGTAAGTAGATAGAAGTGAAGTTATATACTATTTATCGGCTGCTGTTAATTTCAAGGGATGAGAAATGAAATGCTCTGAGTCATTAAAATAGATAGGTATAACAAACAAGTATGATACATCCAGTCATAATGGAAAACCATGGGAAAGATAATATATTCTATACGTAACTGCTATTATGAGTTAATTCCTATAGAGTTAAAAATTCTTAAACAATCTCTTTTTATAATAAAATCACAGGTGCCAATATCATTGGAATGGACAAGCTATTTAAATATAAAAAATATATAGCTTATTTAGCCAGCATTTGGTGCACATATTTTAGACAGTTAATTTTTCATTCAAGATTTTTTCCATTTAGAAATTGGCCTTTAATCTGAGGACTTCAAGATAATTAAAACATACAAGTTAATCTCTCTGATATTAGAAATTAGTGCTCACATGTGTGATTATTTGCTTTGCTGAGAATTCAGTTTCCTTACATTCACATTGTTATGAAAATAAACCACATCAACCCTTTAAACTCCCTAAATAACTTTTATTTTACACATTTTAAGTATAGGAATATTAAAATATATTCAAAGAAGCAGAAATATCTCAACAATTTTTACTCAAAAATTGAAAAATTGATCATTTTGTGTACTAAAAAATATTAAATAAAATATATTGTCTTTTTGCATGTATATGTTTCAATCCAAATGCAAATACATCTCTCTGTGCTCAAATATCACTGGCTCTCACAGACTAACAAAGCAAAGATCATGGGTTTTATTAGTATATTTCTAAAGTATCTTTGAAATTCCATTAAGATTAAATAATTTTTAAATATTTTTGAAATTTTATTACTGTATTATTTACTTATTCAATGCATTCAATGAATAATGTTACATGGAAAGCCTTGTGCTACAGGGCAGTCATGTTTGTGTATAAATGTAACATAACTTTTTGTCTTCCAAAATTAACGAGTACACTAAATACATTAAACATAAATAGATATATAGGTATATTGATAGATAGATAGTAAACAGTATAACTTCCTGCAGTTGTTTTTCTGACTGGTTTGTTTTGAGAAAGTCAAAGATGTAAATCTCCCACTCACAGCCAACTTATTGTGAGACAAGAAAAGACCATAGTCTCATGATGGAGAATAGCGAAGTCTCCATTCTGGGTTCCACTTGGAATACAATCAGTACTTTTTCTAAAAATTATATACAGAATCCAAAAACAGTATTTGAAATTAAAATTGAGAATTGCTGTGTGTCATTTTGGACAAATCATTTAATCTCACCAACTCCCAGTTTCCTGATCTTTAATATGGGCAATAGTGATGTCTACTTGAAGTATCAATGAGATAACCTGTGATAGGGCTGTTTTAAGTGTCTAGTACATATCAGGTGCTCAATAACTATTAATAATTGGTATTTGTCAACTCAGTAAACATATAGAAGCAAAGCTTCTCTTTTTCGTATGCATAAAGGTTGCAGCACTGGAGAGATTTCATCTTCTTGAAATATTCTGAAACATGAAATAACCATATATGCCCTCTTAAGTTTTAGTTGATGGTATTTAATGTTCACAGGATGAAATATAGGCGGATTATTCATGAGGACAGTGACATATTTGCTCTACTCATAGATTAAGAATCAAGATAGATGATCTATATAAGGCATCTAGTGTAGAATTATGATCAGCTTTGCAATGATTCCTTTTATAAAAAATGGGTATTTTGCCTCATTTGAGGCAACTTCATACCTCAAATAAGAAGGAAATATATTTATATATGCTTTTGCTTTTTGAATATAACAATGTGCATACAATTCTGCAAATTATCTCCCTTTATAAACACTCTTCAATATCTTCTTTTCAGTTTAGCTTTTATTTTTTGCTTACTTTGACCCTTTATTACATGAATGAGCGGTGAGCAATTTTATAACAAAACACTAATCTTTTGTTTTATTATGTAGAATTATTATTAGAACATAGCAAAAATTTTCTATAAATAATGCTTTCCACTGACTAATTAGGCTCAGTGGTACATGACGTTATTAAATGAACTGTTACATGCTTTTGGTACAAGTATATAGAAGCTATTGAACCCTAGTTTGAAATGGACATAATTTTAACTATATCACGTGTTTCTTTGGCTGTCACAATTCATGAGTTGTCAGTAGGATTTCAGTGCTGTAAATATCAGTATAATCTCTAGTTACTTCAATACTTTAATCTAGTTGACTTTGCTACTGAATTCATTGGTGCAAGCTGCACTACAGCTGTGTGTTAATAGTGATTTATATTCTTCCTCATTCAAGTCCCAAATGGAATCTCACCTGTGTTTGCATGATGTTCCAAAATCACTTGTTACTTATTAAGAAAAAGGTTATTTTCATGCATCAGACTTTAGAAATTTAAATGACCAGAGTCTGGGGAAAGAATATGTGAGTTGACAACAATGATTTCATTTTGACAGTTTTTCTTTGTGTAAGAAAAAAAAATGTCACATTCACCCAGAAACTCTTGGCATGTACCGAAAGTCAGGTGAAGTTTTTACTGTTTTGTGATTAGAAGCATTATAAAGCCTGCTTACTACAAAACATTAGTAATAATGCCAAATTACTGCAAAGAGAAAGGAAATCAGAATTCTGTTTGTCTTTGTTTACCATCACTGCGGCATACTTTGAACTCAATTTTAATTATGTATTTTCATGTCTTCCTCTTTTCTCAGACTGTGAGTGATTATTCCTTAGCATTGAGCACAAGTCCATTTTCTATGTTTTAATTCTACCCAGCCTCTTCCCTGTCACTTCTCTCTTAATATACTCTGTATCAAGGCATGGTGGAGTGTCTCTTAAAGACCCCAGTTTTTTTATGACTCTATGTCCCTAACTATGGTAATCTTTTTCTACATGGAACTCCTTCTACTTGTTCATCCAGGAAGGTATTCATCATCCTCCTGAGATTCAGCTCAATGGTCAGCTTTGTGTTATGTATTTACCCACCCTCCTAGGCAAGATTCACCCTTTCTCACTTGTCTTGTGTAAGACTCTGCTCATACCTTCAGGTAGATCAGCTCTCATTGTACCTGAGCTCTTTTTTTTTTTTTTTTAATCTTGATCTCATTCTTTATCACAATGGTTTTTAACATCTAGTATGCATAAGCATTATAAGGATGTTGTGCGAAAAATGCAGGCCTCTGAGCCCCATTCTTCAGATTTTGATGCAACTGGACTCAGCAGGGGCTCAGAAATCTGGAGTTTCATTTACAGTGTTCCTAATGCAGAAGCCCGAGATCATACTTTTTAAAAACCTATAGTAACTGTGAATTAATCAAAGCCTGAGCAATACCTTATTTGTTTCTGCATACATAAGTCAAGAATAGTGATATTCAATAAATATTTGTTGAATAAATGAATGAGTAATTTAAAAATACTAAATAATTTCTATGTGAATAATTTGTAAGCTGACTGACAGTACAGACACATAGATTTGTGGCTATGTTTACAACTGTTCTTATGGAACTTTAACTACCAGTCAATGTCAATTTAAGGGTTGCTACTAAACTTAATTCTTGGTATTCTTTTTTCCTAAAATTTTTCCTGAATAGTACTTGAATAAAAATGATAAATATAAGATGTGTTAGGAAGTATAACTAGTATCCTGTTTTAAGAATTTATATTCAAAAGATAGTTCAAAACCAGCAATAAGAAGCTTAAACAACAAGGTGAAATGTCACAGAGATAAATGTGCATTTCTAGGTTTAGGTTAAAAAAATCAATTGTGAAAACTCAAGATAATGTTAGAACTGGTTTGACAATAGTTAATTTAGAAACAACCTAAGTTTTCAGTTGGTAACAAGTTTAATAAAACACAATAATATGACATAGCCACTTAAGAAAACTACAACTTCAGATTATGTTGAAGGACTTTTGAAGAAAGAAACACAGGATGTAATAGTGCCATTTTTTTGTGCCAGTCAACTCTCATCTGATATATCTCAAGATCACTGAGCCCAACTTTAAGATGAACACTAGGACCACTGGAATGGTTTCAGAAGAAAACATCTAAGATATTTGGTGAAATGGGAATTATGATATACCAAGAATAGTTGAAGGAAATCAGGTCTATGGGCAATTATTCTTGATACCAGTTTGTTACTGGTATAGTAATGCTGCATAACAAACAACTACAAAATATCAACATCATACAACAATAAGAAATTACTTAGCTCATGTGCTTTTGGTTTCGCTGGAAGTTGGCTGATCTAGGCTGGGCTTCCTGTACTCTGTTCTAGCTATGCAAAGAGCTGGGCTTGGCACTCCCTGAGGTCTGAGCTCCTCATGTGTTCAATCTGAAGCCAAAACTAAGAGAAAATCAGGCACATGGGGGAGCTCTTTTCACGGCAATGGCAAGAAGACAAGCGGAAACACATAAACCTCCTAAGACCTAGGTTACCTAGAGGTGACTTTACTGTATCAGTTGAGGCAATATACATTACAGCAAAAAGTCAGAAAAACATACTCTGCCACTTTATTGAGAGGTACTGAAAAATCACACAGCAAAGGTCATGAAAGTAGGGAGGGGTGAAGAACTGTAGCCAAGAATACTCTACCGCATTCTGGGTTGGATATTGACAGAGGGATATTTTCTTCTTTAAGCAAGGCTGACATGTGGATGCAAAAACAACCTAGATTCATTTATGTGTAGGTTTACATGACACATTAGAGACCAATGTATGCAAATGGAGATTACAAGGAGGTAGGTGTTGTTTCAGTTTTAGAGTTTCCCAATAAGCTGAGGTGTTTAAAAAATAGAATGAAGTATTTGGGAAGCAATATGATATTAGGACAGAGAGTCCATCTTTGGAACTGGACAGAAACCAGTTTAAAGTTTGGACCTTTTACTTATTAAGCTATAAAGTCCTGAACATGGCAAACATTTTGAATCCTAGTTTCTTTATCTGTAACATGAGGATAAAATTATCTACTTCATTAGATAATGTTTACACAGTACTTAATACAGGCATCTGGCACATAGCAAATGCTTAGTATTGTAGCTATTATTATTAGTAGTAGTAACGTTCTACCTTTAGATATGGTTGTGCCCCCCACCTAGCCTTTTATACTTCTCTTTTGCTTCTTTCATATGTCTCCTATAATTTAATAGTACTGAATATTATGTAACTCAAGTCCACAATTATTTATCCTCAAATTCCAAATCCAAAAGCTATAAAACCAAAAGTTTCTTCTTAAATAGGGTGTCTGAAAGAATTAAGCAACAAAATTCTGACCTAAAGTGATAAAAAGCTATTTATAATGATTTATATCTTGCTTAGTATAGTTCTTCATATATTAAATACAATAATATTAATATATATTTTTGGCCCAGATGTCACAAGTAGTGATATGCAATATACAAAATATGTGTTGTATTGTCTTTCTAAAATACAAAAAATTCTGAATATGAAACATCTGGTGTACAGCATTGCAACTGGAGGATTGTGAACCTATACTTTAATGTACCATATTTGTTAACCATTCTGTTTCTAGCACCTAGCAAAATAGCAAACCCTTAATAAACATGAACTTAATAATATATCAAAAGATGTTGAAGAAATTTGAAATTCTAATTATAAAAAATAAATAATATCTGTATCTTCTTTTGACTCTATCCTATATTTTTCCCAGATAAATTTGATTTTTCTTTTCTGAGGTTCTCCAAAGATATAAAGTGTGTTGTTATTAGTTTTCCAATTCTATGATTTAAGATCACAAAGATCTATCTTTTTCCATGTGGACTGCAGTGTTAGAAGAGAAATATCTTCCTTATCTATATCCTTGTAGTACAATTTGAAGTCAGGTGATCTGATACCTTTAGCTTTTTTTTTTTTTTCCCTTAGGATTGCTTTGGCTTTTCAGGCTCTTTTTTTGATTCCATATGAATCTCAAGCATATAGTAAGCAAACAGCATGGGACTTGTATACAATATACACATAGATCAATGAAGCAGAATGTAGAACCCAGATATAAAACCACATATTTACAGCCATCTGATCACTGGCAAAACTGACAACAATATAGACTGGGGAAAGAACACACCTTCTTCAATAAAGGATGTTAGAAAAAATGGATGGCCATACACAGAAGAATGAAACTAGATCCCTATCTTTTACCATGTACTAAAGCCAACTCAAGATGTATTAAAGTCTTAAATGTAAGACCTGAAACTATAAAAGCACTAGAAAAAAACTTAGGAAAAACTCTTCTACGCTTTGGTCTAAGCAAATAATTCATGACTAAGACCACAAAAGCACAGGTAACAAAAACAGAAATAGACAAACGGGACTACATTAAATTAGAAAGCTTCTGCACAGCAAAATAAATAATTAATAGAGTGAGCAGACAACCTGCAGAATGGGAGAAAATATTTTAAAACTATTCATTTAACAAAGGACTAATATCCAGAATCTACAAGGAATCTAAACAACTCAACATAACAACAACAAAAAAACCCCCAAATAATCCCATTAAAAAGTAAGCAAACACATAAATAGACATTTTTTCAAAAGAAGACATAAAAATGACCAACATCAACATTACCAATCATTAGAGAAATGCAAATTAAAACCACAATAAGATACCATCTCACATCAGTCCAAATGGCTGTTATTAAAAAGTCAAAAATAGCAGATGTTGGCAAGGATGTGGAGAAAAGGAAATGTTTATAAATTGCTGGTGGAAATGTAAATTAGTACAACCTATATGGAAACTAGTATGTAGATTTCTCAAAGAACTAAAAATAGAACTGCCATTTGATACAGTGGTCCCACTACTGAGTAACTACCCAAAGGAAAATAAATCATTTTATATATACGTATAAAAAATACCTGCACTCATATGTTTATCACAGCACTATTCACTATAGCAAAGATATGTAATCAACCTAAGTGTCAATCAGTGATGACTGCATAAAGAAAACACAGTATATGTACACAATGGAATACTACTCATCCATAAAAAAGAATGAAATCATGTATTTTGCAACAACATGGATGGAACTGGAGGCTACTATCTTAAGTGAAATAACTTAAACACAGAAAGACAAATACTGCATTTCTCCCTTATAAGTAGAGCTAAATAATATGTACCCATGGATGTAGAGTGTGGAATGGCAGACAATGGAGACTCAGAAGAGTGGGGGAACCAGATGGTAAGTGGGTGATGAGAAATTACTTAATAGGTCCAATGTACAATATGTGGGTGATGGTTACCCTAAAAGCCCTGACTTCAATCTATGCATAGAAGAAATTACAACTATGCATAGAACAAATCTATGCATAGAACAAATTACAACTGTACCCCATAAATTTATACAACAAATATAAAAACATCTCTCTTCTCTCACTACCAATGTGCAAGTGCAAAATAACAAGACCTGGAGGCTGTTTTTTTAACATGCAAATTGACTAAGAAACCAAAGAAAACAACGAACGCATAGAAATGTTGCTCAAAAAAAGGATGGAATGGCAACCAATGGAGAATTTATTGAGCTCAGATAACTACATTGGCCTGGTGCAGAAAAAAGATGATTTTTTCCAAACATGAATTTGGTCTTGCTAAATTCTAGGTTTGATGATAACCTAAAACTCTATCCCAATACCACTTTTTTTCTTTTTTCCTAGTGGTATATTTAGGCTTTCTTGTTTCCTTCCTATCGCCTCAGCTATATGCCCCAACACTTTCAAATATCTGATCTGCCTGAAGAAAATGTAATTCTATAGTAATGAATCATATTCTCATTTCTTTGTCTTTGCAAGTGATGAGGTCCTTGCCTAAGTTTCACTTAACATTACAATCTCAGCCTGGCATCAGCTCTTCTGAGAAGCCTTGTAATACTTTCTCTTCACCCTCTATCTGTGTGACCTCCCATGCTCCCTCATGTCCTCTAACACATCCTCCCAGCACAGTACTTATCACATGCTATGTGTTTATTTGAGTGTCTCTCTTCTTCTCTAATTGTTTACAAATAGTCCTCTGTATTTTAGTAAGTCCTTCCTACTGTGCCTTTGGAAGAATTTCCTGTATACTGAGTTTTTTTTTTTTCTCTATCTTGATTATTTTGTGTTGGACAGAATTTAGAAAATCAGGACCATAGCTATCTATAGATATATTTGAATCCTTAAAATGTTTAATTTCTTTAAATTAGTTGCCAGTATCTAAAAATCAGAGTATTGCACAGAAAAACTGACGTAGCAGGTTATATTTTTTTAAAATGGCTACATTTTTTTTTCCATTCTCGAACCATGCTGTCACCCACTGACAGGTAAAGACTATTATCCCTTCTCTTGAATCTGGCTGGACTTGTGAGGTGCTTGTAACTACTAGCATGAGGCTAAGTCATAAAAAGTAATGCAACTTCTCTTTTGCTTTTCGGGATACTCATATCTGGTACCCTGAGCTGCCATGCTATGAGGAAGCCTAAGTGACATGGAGAGGACTGTATGGGTGTTCCATGCAGCAGTGCTAATTAAGGGACAAGCTGACAGCCAGCATCAACTGCTATATATAATATGAGAAGAATCCCCAGGTGATTTCACATCCCAGCCATTGAGTCACCCTTGGCTTCTGAGCCTTTGCAGCTGCGGCCCCAGACATAGTGAAGCAGAAACAAGCCACCCTTGTTGTACTTTGCTAAGACTCCAGATGTATAAAAAAATTCCTGAGCATAGTAAAAATGGTTGTTCTATACTACTAGGTTTTGGGGTGGTTTCTTGATGCAGGAATAGTAACTGGAAAATCTAGACTTCCAGCTCTTCTTGGGGAGGAAAAGATAACAAGCATTACTGACCTTCATTTTTTTAAAAAAACCTAGGCTACATGGCCACAATATCCTAATGTTGAAAAAACGATAGTCGCTTTAGATAGGGCACATACATTCCAGTCTGCCACAGTCTCTACCACTCCTTATTGCATACTTTGACAGTCGTATACATTCACAAACATTCCTGATTCCTTAAATATGTTATTCATATGTTAAACTTTTTTGTGTGTGTGTGAAGCTAGGCTTCTCTTCACCTACCAGTGAAACCAGAATTTCACCTTAGGTTCTTTCTGTCCTTAATGCTGGGCTTTTTGCAACACATCAGGTTCTTTCAGAATTTAGGATGATCTAATGCTTCCTATTTTTGAAGCACTGATTGTGTATGGTTTACCCAATACCTTCTTGTTTCCTCCTGAGGAGTGTTTCCAATTCTAAATTAACCTGGTGAGGAGAAATGACTGGCATGTTGACATGCCTTGATCTCAATAAAAGATTAAGCAGGTTTCAGTTACTATCTAAAACACTTCCTTAGGTTTTCTTGAGAGACTTGTCATTCATGTGAGTAGAGAAAATGGTTTTTCTAACTCTTCTTATTAGAGTTTCATAAAAACTATTTTAATGGTATATTTTTAAATACAGATTGACTATTTAAACTACTTAGGCAAGTAGTTTAGTTATTATCAAAATTAACCTTAAATTAATTAAAAATCGACAAATACAATGTATACATACTGATAATTTGAGGAAACACATTGTTTCTTTCCTAAAACTAACAGTGGTTCTCTGAAGTGCCTAAAATAAATACGTCAAATAAGAACTAAAAAAGAGAGAGAGAAAAAAAACAGTGTTTATTGAGAGCTGAATTCTCATCCTGTGATGGTAAATTCAAACAATATCAAACCTACTGTTTATGCATGCAGAGGTCTGTAGATGGCAGGAACATACAATTAAATTGTAGAATAACTGTGGGAAAGTAATTAAATCCAATAACCTTCTGTAAATTCAATCTCATCATAGACTATAGCATTGAGACATTAGAGAAATAAATTACAAAACGAGGGCGAGTGACTTTATAGTGAATAGTGCCACTTAAATGAATAGGACAAGCTTAATATTATAACTTTTATTAAGTTACTGGATAACTGCAGTGTTTCACACTTTAGTTTTCATTAGAGGGATTTCTGTAGACTCAGTATCAAATATAAGGACTTACATTAAACATATAGCCTAAAAACAGTAAATAATTTCTTCTTTTTTTCTTGCTCAGAAGTATCTTTTGGTCAGAACTTTTTGCAAAGCATGCAGATAGCTCCCTATTTTCTTATATTAAATGCATATTCTCTCTGGCCTTTTGAGGTACATAACAGACGTCTGAATTGATTTAGGTTTTCAGGTAGTAGTATCTGTTGGTCTTTATGTCTAACACCGTGGAGTTGGCAGATATGGGTTCAAATCCAACATTTACTATTTAAATATATTATACTTGGAAAAATCACTTAACATTTCTAAAATTTAAATTTTCTCTATATAAAATGAGGAAAAAAATACCTGCTTCATATGTTGTTGCAGGGATTAAATGAGATAAAACACCTCCCAACACTTAGCGTAGCAGCTAGCACAAAATGATTGTTAGCTATTATAAACTGATAGCTCCAAGTAGTGTTTGAGCAAAAAAAGCAGTGGCTCCCATCCTATAGGCTCTGACCCTTGAGGAGCTAAGAAGTTTGTGCGAGGGGTTTGAGAACCTATTTTTCCACCAAATGTAGATATGTATATTCACTGTATATTCTTTCTTTTGCTTTCTCATAAATAAAATATACATTGTATTTAAAAGCATTACTGTTTCCATAACAATTTCATATCATTATTTATATGTTCAAGCAACTGGCACTAATATGTACAATTACTACTTATTGAAGTGTGATAAAAATTTTAGATGTTGTGCTGGATCTTTTCAATTTGCTGTCCCACTTTCTTTCTTGCCTCCATCCTGTTCTCTCCCTAGAGGATGACTAATGGCAACACCGTCTATTGGATTGGTTTTCCTCTGCTTCCTACTGGGTCCATCCAGTGGGAGTAATGGTAGGAGACTGGCAGGAGAAAGGAGAGTGAGATCAGGATAGAAACTCCCTGTACTTCCTCCTGTAGGATGGCCGTGGTTGCCATTCTGAAGTAGAGGTCTCAGTTCCTGTCAGGTGGCCTCTCCCACAGCTTTCTCTGTTTCCCTTTAATTTCTATTTTTGGTAGTAGAGCACCTCACCTTATGGATACTATCTTCAGGGGACTAAATTGTCCCTTGTGGTACTCGTCCACTGAAAATAGTTCCCTGGTTAAACTCTCCACAAATTATCCTAATTTAGGAGTCTAATTCCCCGCCCCCACACTGTTTCAGCCCTGATAACTACAAATATTCAAAAAAGGTTTTCATTCTAGAACACTTTATAATAATGCCTTATATTTCAGAGGGAGGTGTCTATCTACATCTATATCTATGTCTAATCTACATCTGTATCTATACATCTTTGCTCTCCTAGTACATTCTCCACAGAAGGGAGGCTTCTTTTCCTAGGTTGTGTGAGTTCCTCACCTGATACATTATTTAAGAAAAGCAAAGACTTCCATTTAAATATTTTGCCTATTATACCAATCTACAGTTAAAATTTTACATTGGAAGATTATAAATTTTTAACATTTCACATCCAAATTAAATTACTATTAGAATCAAAGATCTGAATTGGTCTTTTGGCTTTTATTTGCAATATTGCCACTTGTATCTAAGTAAATGAAAACCACTTTTTTTCTACTTGTATAATTTGGTTTGGTAGAGCTGTTTTTCTTTTTTTTTTAATTTGGACATTGGGAAATGTTGACAAAATCTTGTGAATTTCCATGATTTCAGAAGGTTGACCTTTGAAAATGTTAATGTCTTTGAGGAGTATGTAGAAAAAAAAAGGTTATCAGAACATGAACAGAATTTAAATGTTTGGTCCAATTAAAGGTGTTAATCCCAGGATGTAACTTGCCTTAAGTCAAAACTTCAAGTATGTGAGTTCCCCTGGAAACTGTAATACTAGCCCTGCAATTTGAAGCTTGCATAATCAACTCATCAATTTATTTCTTTACTTTTTCTCCTCATAGACACAGGGTAAGAGAAAAAGATGATGGTCAGAGACACCTTATATCATTGTCATCTTTACCAGTCATTAATGTCATTCAGTTAAGCTGCCTCCTATGGACTCTTTTTTTTAAATTTATTTATTTATTATTATTATACTTTAAGTTTTAGGGTACATGTGCATAATGTGCAGGTTAGTTACATATGTATACATGTGCCATGTTGGTGTGCTGCACCCACTAACTCGTCATCTAGCATTAGGTACATCTCCCAGTGCTATGCCTCCCGCCTCTTCCCACCCCACAACAGTCCCCAGAGTGTGATGTTCCCCTTCCTGTGTCCATGTGTTCTCATTGTTCAATTCCCACCTATGAGTGAGAATATGCGGTGTTTGGTTTTTTGTTCTTGCGATAGTTTACTGAGAATGATGATTTCCAATTTCATCCATGTCCCTACAAAGGACATGAACTCATCATTTTTATGGCTGCATAGTATTTCAAGGTGTATATGTGCCACGTTTTCTTAATCCAGTCTATCATTGTTGGACATTTGGGTTGGTTCCAAGTCTTTGCTATTGTGAATAATGCCGCAATAAACATACGTGTGCATGTGTCTTTGTAGCAGCATGATTTAGAGTCCTTTGGGTATATAACCAGTAATGGGATGGCTGGGTCAAATGGTATTTCTAGTTCTAGATCCCTGAGGAATTGCCACACTGACTTCCACAATGGTTGAACTAGTTTACAGTCCCACCAACAGTGTAAAAGTGTTCCTATTTCTCCACATCCTCTCCAGCACCTGTTGTTTCCTGACTTTTTAATGATTGCCATTCTAACTGGTGTGAGATGGTACCTCATTGTGGTTTTGATTTGCATTTCTCTGATGGCCAGTGATGGTGAACATTTTTTCATGTGTTTTTTGGCAGCATAAATGTCTTCTTTTGAGAAGTGTCTGTTCATGTCCTTTGCCCACTTTTTGATGGGCTTGTTTGTTTTTTTCTTGTGAATTTGTTTGAGTTCATTGTAGATTCTGGATATTAGCCCTTTGTTAGACGAGTAGGTTGCGAAAATTTTCTCCCATTTTATAGGTTGCCTGTTCACTCTGATGGTAGTTTCTTTTGCTGTGCAGAAGCTCTTTAGTTTAATTAGATCCCATTTGTCAATTTTGGCTTTTGTTGCCATTGCTTTTGGTGTTTTAGACATGAAGTCCTTGCCCATGCCTATGTCCTGAATGGTAATGCCTAGGTTTTCTTCTAGGGTTTTTATGGTTTTAGGTCTAAGGTTTAAGTCTTTAATCCATCTTGAATTGATTTTTGTATAAGGTGTAAGGAAGGGATCCAGTTTCAGCTTTCTACATATGGCTAGCCAGTTTTCCCAGCACCATTTATTAAATAGGGAATCCTTTCCCCATTGCTTGTTTTTCTCAGGTTTGTCAAAGATCAGATAGTTGTGGATATGCGGCATTATTTCTGAGGGCTCTGTTCTGTTCCATTGATCTGTATCTCTGTTTTGGTACCAGTACCATGCTGTTTTGGTTACTGTAGCCTTGTAGTATAGTTTGAAGTCAGGTAGTGTGATGCCTCCAGCTTTGTCCTTTTGGCTCCGGATTGACTGGGCGACGCGGGCTCTTTTTTGGTTCCATATGAACTTTAAAGTAGTTTTTTCCAATTCTGTGAAGAAAGTCACTGGTAGCTTGATGGGGGTGGCATTGAATCTGTAAATTACCTCGGGCAGTATGGCCATTTTCACGATATTGATTCTTCCTACCCATGAGCATGGAATGTTCTTCCATTTGTTTGTATCCTCTTTTATTTCCTTGAGCAGTGGTTTGTAGTTCTCCTTGAAGAGGTCCTTCACGTCCCTTGTAAGTTGGATTCCTAGGTATTTTATTCTCTTTGAAGCAATTGTGAATGGGAGTTCACTCATGATTTGGCTCTCTGTTTGTCTGTTGTTGGTGTATAAGAATGCTTGTGATTTTTATACATTGATTTTGTATCCTGAGACTTTGCTGAAGTTGCTTATCAGCTTAAGGAGATTTTGGGCTGAGACGATGGGGTTTTCTAGCTATACAATCATGTCATCTGCAAACAGGGACAATTTGACTTCCTCTTTTCCTAATTGAATACCTTTTATTTCCTTCTCCTGCCTAATTGCCCTGGCCAGAACTTCCAACACTATGTTGAATAGGAGTGGTGAGAGAGGGCACCCCGTCTTGTGCCAGTTTTCAAAGGGAATACTTCCAGTTTTTGCCCATTCAGTATGATATTGGCTGTGGGTCTGTCATAGATAGCTCTTATTATTTTGAGATACGTCCAATCAATACCTAATTTATTGAGAGTTTTTAGCATGAAGAGTTGTTGAATTTTGTCAAAGGCCTTTTCTGCATCTATTGAGATAATCATGTGGTTTTTGTCTTTGGTTCTGTTTATATGCTGGATTACATTTATTGATTTGCGTGTGTTGAACCAGCCTTGAATCCCAGGGATGAAGCCCACTTGATCATGGTGGATAAGCTTTTTGATGTGCTGCTGGATTCGGTTTGCCATTATTTTATTGAGGATTTTTGCATCAATGTTCATCAAGGATATTGGTCTAAAATTCTCTTTTTTGGTTGTGTCTCTGCCCGGCTTTGGTATCAGGATGATGCTGGCTGGTGAAACACCTTTTCTGATTCATTTGAAATTTTCCTGAACTAGCAATACCTTGCAAAATAACTGGGGGATTAATTAAAATTGTTATAGCTGCTGAACTTCAGGTGAACCTTTGTAGGATTGTTACCTTGTGAACCTCCTCTAGAATCTCTACTGAGGATGATATAATTATTCCATTTAGGCATCTTCCAGATTCTATTTTATAATCTCACAAATTCTATGTTCACTTATGCTAACTAATCAGTTAAAGTCCATTTTCTCTAAATATTTTTATCTTTTATCTTAGTTCTACTAAGTCACACATATTCTACTATTTTATTTTCACAATTCAAAATCAGCATTTCTTCTGATTTAGACTGTGACAGTGCTCATATAATATTAATATTGTTTGTAAATGCTGGAGGATGATTCTAATTATATATTTCTATTTTTTTTTTTTTAGATGGAGTCTCGCTCTGTCACCCAGGCTGGAGTACAGTGGCGCGATCTTGGCTCACTCTAAGCTCCGCCTCCCGGGTTCACAACATTCTCCTGCCTCAGCCTCCTCAGTAGCTGGGACTACAAGCGCCCACCACCATGCCTGGCTAATTTTTTGTACTTTTAGTAGAGATGGGGTTTCACCATGTTAGCCAGGATGGTCTCGATCTCCTCACCTCGTGATCTGCTGGCCTTGGCCTCCCAAAGTGCTGGAATTACAGGCATGAGCTGCGGCGAGGAAGAAGCAGAGGAAGAAGCAGGCTGCCATCTTTGATGTTTTGCAGCTTTCACTGGTGATACCTTCAGGTATGGGAAAAACTGAGGCAACTAGGGTCTGAAGCAGACCCAAGCAAACCACAGCAGGACTATAGACAAGTGGCCTGACCATAAAAAACAAACAAACAAACAAACAAACAGAAAACAACAATAATATCAACAAAAAGAACCCACAAAAACCCCATTCAATGGTTTGCAACCTCAAAGATCAAAGGTAGATAAGGCCACAAAGATGAGAAAGAATCAATGCAAAAATGCTGAAAACTCAAAAAGCCAGAGAGCCTCTTCTCCAAATGACCACAACACCTCCCCAAGGAGGTCAAAGAACTGTGCTGAGGCTGAAATGGCTGAATTGACAGAAGTAGACTTCAGAAGGTACGTAATAACAAACTTTGCTAAGCTAAAGGAGCAAGCTGTAAAACAATTGCAAAGAAGCTAAGAATTATAATAAAACAATACAGAAGCTGCACTGCACTCCAGCCTGGCAACAGAGAAAGACTCCATCTCAAAAACAAACAAACAAACAAACAAACAAAAAAACAACAATACAGAAGCTGATAGGCAGAATAGCCAGTTTAGAGAGGAACATAACTGACCTGATGGAGCTGAAAAACTCAATACGAGAACGTCACAATGCAATCAGAAGTATCAATAGCAGAATAGACTGAGTGGATGAAAGACAGAGCTTGAAGACTATCTTTTGAAATAAGATAGGCATACAAGAATAGAGAAAAAAGAATGAAAAAGAATGAACAATACCTCTGATTAATATGGGATTATTTAAAGAGAGCAGACCTATGACTGATTGGGGTACCTGAAGGAGAGGGAGAATGGAACGAAGTTGTAAACTTGAATATCATCCAGAAGAACTTCCCCAACCTAGCAACACAGGCCAATATTCAAATTCAGGAAATGTAGAGAACCCCAGTAAGATACTCCATGAGAAGATCAACCCCAAGGCACATAATCATCAGATTTTCCAAGGTTGAAGTGAAAGAAAAGTAATTTAAGGGCAAGCCAGAGAGAAAGACCAGGTCACCTGCAAAGCAAAGCCTATCAGACTAGTGGAGAACCTCTCAGTGGAAACCCTATAAGCCAGGAGAGATTGGGGGCCAATATTCAATATTGTTAAAGAAAAGAACTTCTAATCCAGAATTTCATATCTGACCAAACTAAGCTTCATAAATGATGGAGAAATAAGATCATTTTCAGACAAGCAAATGTGGAGGGAATTTGTCACCACCAGGCCTATATCACAAGAGCTTCTTAAAAATAGACTAAATATGGAAAGAAAAAACCATTACCAGCCACTGTAAAAACACACTGAAGTACAGACCAGTGATACTATGAAGCAACCATGTGAACAGTCTGCAAAATAATCAGCTAGCATCATGATGAAAGGATCAAATTTACATATAACAATACTAACTTTAAAGGTAAATGGACTCATTGCCCCAATTAAAAGACAGAATGGCAAGCTGGATAAAGAGCCTAGACCCATAGGTATGTTGTCTTCAAGAGACCCATCTCATGTGCAAAGACACACATAGGCTCAAAATAAAGGGATGGAGGAGAATTTACCAAGCAAACGGAAAACGAAAAAGCAGGGGTTGTAATCCTAGTTTGTGACAAAATAGACTTTAAACCAACAAAGATCAAAATGGACAAAGAAAGGCAATACATAATGGTAAAGGGTTAAACTCAACAAGAAGAGCTAACTATCATAAATATATATGCACCCAATACAGGAACAACCAGATTCATAAAACAAGTTCTTAGAGACCTACAAGGAGACTTAGGACTCCCATACAATAGTAGTGGGAGACTTTAACATTGCACTGACAATATTAGACAGATAATCTAAACAGAAAATTAACAAAGTTATTCAGGACCTGAACTCAGCTCTGTATCAAGTGGACCTGATAGATATATACAGAAATCTCCACCCCAAAACAAGAGCATATACATTCTTCTCATCATGACATGGCACTTATTCTAAAATTGAGCACATAATCAAGTAAAACATTCCTCAGCAAATGCAAAAGAACTGAAATCATAACAGTGTCTCAGACCACAGTGCAATCAAATTTGATCTCAAGATTAAGAAATTCACGAAAAATCACACAACTACATGGAAATTGAACAACTGATCCTGAATGACTTTTGGGTAAATAAGGCAGAAATTAAGAAGTTTTTTGAAACTAATTAGAACAAAGAGACAATGTACCAGAAACTCTGGGACACAGCTAAAGTAGTGTTAAGAGGGAAATTTATAGTAATAAATGCCCATATGTAAAAGCTAGAAATATCTCAAGTTAACAACCTAACATCTCAACTAAAAGAAATAGAGAACCAAGAGCAAACAAACCCCAAAGCTAGTAGGAGACAGGAATAACCCAGATCAAAGTGGAACTAATGGAGATAGAGACATGAAAATCCTTTCAGAAAACAATGAATCCAGGAGCTGGTTTTTTGAAACCATTAAAAAAATAGATCAACTGTTATCTAGCCTAATAAAGAAGAAAAGAGAAAAGAATCAAATAAACACAATCAGAAATGATAAGGGGGATATCACCACTGACCCCACAGAAATACAAACGACCATCAGAGAATACTATAAACACCTCTATGCACATAAACTAGACAATCTATAAGAAATGCATAAATTCCTGGACACCTATGCCTTCATAAGACTAAGCTAGGAAGAAATTTTATGCCTGAATAGACTAATAACGAGTTCTGAAATTGAGGCAGTAATAAATAGCCCACCAACCAAAAAAATCTCAGGACCAGAATCTCAGATAGATTCACAGCTGAATTCTACCAGAGGTACAAAGATGAGCTAGTAGTGTACTGAAAGTATTCCAAAAAATTGAAAAGGAGGGACTCCTCCTAAACTCCTTCTATGAGGCTGGCATCATCCTGATGCCAAAACCTGGCAGAGATACAAGAAACAAAGAAAACTTCAGGCCAATATCCCTGCTGAACATCAATGCAACAATCCTCAATAAAATACTAGAAAACTGAATCCAGCAGCACATCAAAAAACTTATTTAACATGATCCAGTTGGCTCCATCCCCAGGATGCAAGGTTGGTTCAACATACAGATATCAATAAATTTGGTTCATCGCATAAACAGAACTAATAGATGCAGAAAAGGCCTTCAATAAAATTCAACATCCCTTCATTTTAAAAACTCTCAATAAACGAGATACTAAAGGAACATACCTCAAAATAATATGAGTCAGATATAACAAACTCACAGCTAATATCATACTAAATGGGCAAATGCTGGAAGCATTCCTCTTACAAACTGGCACAAGACAAGGATGCCTTCTCTCACCACTCTTATTCAACTTAGTACTGGAAGTTCTGGCCAGGGCAATCAGGCAAGAGAAAGAAACAAAGCATATTCAAATAGGGAGAGAAGAAGTCGAACTCTCTTTATTTGCAGATGACATAATCCTATATCCAGAAAACTCATCATCTCAGCCAAAAAGCTTCTTAATCTAATAAGCAACTTCAGCAAAGCCTCAGGATACAAAATCAGTGTGCAAAAATCGCTAGCATTCCTATACATCAACAATAGACAAGCAGAGAGCCAAATCATGAATAAACTCCCATTGATCACTGCCACAAAAAGAATAAAATATCTAGAAGTCCAGCTAGCAAGGGAAGTGACGGATCTCTTCAAAGAGAACTACAAACCGCTGCTCAAGGAAATCAGAGAGGAAGCAATAAATGGAAAAACATTCCATGCTTATGGATAGGAAGAATCAATATCATGAAAATGACCACAGTGCCCAAAGTAATTTATAGATTCAATACTATTCCCATTAAAACTACCATTGACATTCTTCACAGAATTAGAAAAAAATATTTTAAAATTCATATGGAACCAAAAAAGAGCCTGAATAGCCAAGAGAATCCTAAGCAAAGAGAACAAAGCTGGAGACATCACGCTACCTGAATTCAAGCCATACTACAAGTCTACAGTAACCAAAACAGCACAATACTGGTACAAAAACAAACATATAGAACAATGGAACAGAATAAAGAACTCAGAAATAAGACCACACACCTACAACCATCTGATCTTCTGATCTTCAACAAACCTGACAAAAACAAGCAATGGGGAAAGGGTTACCTACTTAATAAATGGTTCTGGTAGAACTGTCTAGCCATATGGAGAAAATTGAAACTGGACCCCTTCCTTACACCATATACAAAAATTAACTCAAGATAAATTAAATACTTAAATGTAAAATCCAAACTATAAAAACTCTAGAAGAAGAGCTAGGCAATACTATTCAGGACATAGACACAGGCAAAGATTTCATGCTGAAAATGCCAAAAGCAATTGCAACAATGGCAAAAATTGACAAATGGAATCTAACTAAAGAGCTTCTTCTGCACAGCAAAATAAACTATCATCAGAACGAACAGAATGGAAGAAAAATTCTACAGAATGGAAGAAAAATTTTGCAACCTATCCATCTGTCAAAGGTCTAATATCCAGAGTCTACAAGGACCTTAAACAAATTTACAGGAAACAAACAACCCCATTAAAAACTGGGCAAAGGACCTGAACAGATACTTCTCAAAAGAATACATATATGTGACTAACAAACATGAAAAAAGCTTAACATCACTGATCATTAGAGAAAAATCAAAACCAAAATGAGATAACATCTCACACCAGTCAAAATTGCTATTATTAAAAAGTCAAAAAACATGCTCGTGAAGTTGCAGGCAAAAACAAACACTTTTACACTGTTGGTGGGAGCTTAAATTAGTTAAACTATTGTGGAAGACAGTGGATTGATTTCTCAAATACTGAGAAGCAGAAATACCCTTTGACCCAGCAATCCCATTACTGGGTATGTACCCAAAGTAATATAAATCATTTTATTATAAAGATACATGCACACATATGTTCACTGAAGCACTATTCACAATAGCAAAGACATGGAATCAACCTAAACCATGTTGGGTTGATTACCCAACATGATAGACTGGATATAGAAAATGTGGTACATATACATCATGGAATACTATGCAGCCATAAAAAGGAATGAGATTCTGTTCTTTGCAGGGACATGGATGAAATTGGAAGCCATTATCCTTAGCAAACTAATGCAGGAAGAGAAAACCAAAAACCACATGTTCTCATTTATTAACGGGGAGCTAAATGATGAGAACACAGGGACACACAGGGGGAGCAAGACACACTGGGGCCTCTTGGAGGGGGGTTGTGGAGGGAGGGAGGGCATCAGGAAGAATAGCTAATGGATGCTGGGCTTAATACCTAGGTGATGGGATAATCTGTGCAGCAAACCAGCATGGCACTTGTTTACCTATGTAATACACCTGAACATCCTGCACATGGACTCTGAATTTAAAATAAAAGTTGAAGAAAAAAAAAGATTTAGCTACAAAGATATTAATCACATATTTGTTTAGAGTTATGAAAAACTGAAAATAACTTAAACATTTAACTGTACTGGAATGATTAAATTGTGATCAAATCATAGAATGAAACAATGTACAGCCATTAAAGATTATGTTGTAGACATTCATTTATTAACATAGATAGATGTTCTTATGTGCTGGAGAGTTAAACTTAAATTTCAAAACAGTTTGCAGTATATGATTTCAAATGTAGGTAGATGTATTAACACACATGAAAGATAGATAAAAAGATGATACATTGATAAATAGATACTCCAAAAATGTTCACAACAGCTGTTTCTGGGTGACTGTATTTATCTTCTTCTTTTTTTACTATATTTTCTTTTTAAAAAAACTTTTAAGTTCAGGGATACAAGTGAAGGTTTGTTATTAGATTAGTTCAGCCATTGTGGAAGACAATGTAATGATTCTTCAAAGACCTAAAGCCATAAATACCATTCTACCCAACAATCCCATTATTGGGCATATACCAAAAGGAATATAAATCATTCTGTTATAAAGACACATGCACTTGTATGTTTATTGCAGCACTAGTCACAATAGCAAAGACGTGGAATCAACCTAAATGCCCATCACTGATAGACAGGATAAAGAAAATGTGGTAGATATACACCATGGAATACTAGGCAGCCATAAAAAAGAATGAGATCATGTCCTTTGTAGGCACATGGATGGAGCTGGGGGCCATTATCCTTAGCAAACTAACACAGGAACAGAAAACAAAATACCACATATTCCCACTTATAAGTGGGAGCTAAATGATGAGAACACATGGGCACATAGAGGGGAACAACACACACTGGGGCCTTTTGGCCTTCAGGAGGAGGGAGAGGATCAGGAAAAAGAACTGATGGTACGAGGCTTAATACCTGGGTGATGAAATAATCTGCACAACAAACCGCCATGACAGATGAATGTTTTCATTTCACTTGGGTAAATACCGAAGAGAAGAACTGCTGGGTCATATGGTAAATGTAGGTCAACTTTTAAGCAACTGCCTAACTGTTTTCCAAAGTGGTTTACAGTTTTACATCCCTATCAGCAATATATGAGCATTGCAGTTGCTCCACATCCTCACTAACATTTATTTGATAATTCAATCTGTTTAATATTAGCCATTCCACAATCTGTGTACTAGTATCTAATTGTGGTTTTAATTTCAATTTTCCTAATGAATAATGATGTTGAACATATTTTTAGACTCTTATTTGCAATTTGTATATCTTCTTTGGTGAAATGTCAGTTCAAATTTTTTTGCCCATTTTTAAAAGGCAGGTTATTTATCTGATTCTAAAGTTTTAGCAGTTTTTGCATATTTTGGATACAATCAAAGATATTCTTTAGAAATATATGTTTTGCTAATATTGCTTCACAGTTTGTAGCTTGCCATTTTATTTAATAACAGTGTCTTTTAGAGAACAAAATTTAATTTTGATAAAATACAATTGATTAAAAAATAATCTAAAGGCAAGCATTGAACACCTGATCTAATAAGAACTCTAGTGTGTATCTATTTCTATTAGAAATTGGCACGATATTAAAAAATTATTTTTCACAGTTTTCTGAAAAAAATAGTTTACTAATTAGTGCATGTACTCATTTTCATTTATTTTTTCAACAAATCTTTACTGAGAACCTCTAGTGTTTCAGAAACTATACTAGTATTGAGGATAAAATTTTGACCAAAATAGGCATTTTATCATTATTGTAATATAGACATTGGTATCACTGCAACTAATTTCATCACCTACTTTCTTTGTCCCTCTGGCTTAACAGTAAAGTATCAGAGAAGCACATAAATATTCTGTCAGTATTCTCTTTGAAGAATGAGGCTCTTATTTTGTATCCCCATGGTGTAGAACATATTAGGCTCGACATTCACATACTCAACAATTATCCCTTCAGTGCATACCCCATGAAAGACTTTGTACCTAGTATTGTGAGAGAGATGAGGCTGTATTAGAAAAGGATTTGGAACAAATAACGAAAATGATAGGGGACATGTACACAAATAATCCCAATGTAAGGCAGAGAAATAAATGCTATAGAAAAGTAAATATATGGTGCTATTGGAATTCAGGGCAGAAACAGATTATTCTCCAAAACACAATAAAGAAAATACTTTTTAGAAGAGTTGGCTTTTGAGCTGGGGCTGGAAGGATGGGAAGAATTTAGCTACAAAAATTGAGTGGATAGGAAAGGAGACAGGGAAGGCAGCAGAAGTGTGTAGAAAATGTCCCTTTACATATAAATTATACTTTATTAAAGCAAGTTTTATTCTAAAATTATTGTATACAGCCATTATATATATGTGTGTGTGTGTGTGTGTTCAACAATTCTAACATTCACTTTTCAGATATTCAAAGCTAAATTATCTTAATCTCATATTTTTCTTCTTGTTTCTTAGGGTCAGTTAAGCTCACTTAAATCTCACCAGAAGAGAGAATGTCCCTCATTATCAGAAAATTATTCCAAAATTTCTTCTATTTAATTGTAGCTCTACAGAGCTGCATCAAGGAATTATTTTAGTCTATTCTAATTGTGTTTGTCGAGTGTAGTAACTACACTTTCTATCAAGGGTTTCTGAAACTAGTTATGGAACTTTGTTATCACTATTTTTATGTGCTAATGTATAATGATAAACTAACAATTTGATTGAAAATATTAGCAGACAGTCTAAATATGTAGCCAATTTGCATATAATACTCGGTTCAATATCTGTAATGTGATGCAAAACTTACCCTAAGCCTAAATGACTGTGTTGTTTTCCAATATGTAATTGGGACAATTAAGATATTACAGCAAAAGCGCTTGGCTCATGATGGCTTCTCTATTTAGCTTACTAGAAATTAACCAATTATTCAGTGTCAGCGATGGTCATTTCTACAGTGATAACTTAAATCATACTTAGTTTTAAAGATATCAGTTCACACTCATCTTATTTCTAATTGCCCACAGTATTCCCTCTAAATAAAATTTATCTTCAATACTTTTACTGTGCTGTCACTCAGGCCACGGAAAATCCAAACTTCCACAATACATGTAGATTTATTCTAAACTATAATGACCTTTAAGTTGTTTTCTTCTTTGCCACCTCAAATATTACTTAAGTCCTAAAGGAGGTTTATTGCCAATAAAGTTGGTCAAGAAATGATCAATGCTATAATGATTTTGCAACAGTAAGTTCCATTGGCTTCTGTCAATCACATAAATGGGAAACTCACTTAACTCATAGATCCCCCTGTATTTTCCTGTGAAATTTGTAACACTTTTAAGAAAAAAAAGTGGGTGATTGAATTTTCTAAAAATGCATTTGTTTTACACCTATTTTCTTCATAGTTAACAAAAATAAAATCCACACTCAAAATGTTACATTATTATATTGTTTCTTCTTACAAGGTGTTCTAGAGAAGGTAAAACTATGGTAACAAAAAACAGATAGTTGGTTTCCAGAGCCTGAGGATGAAGGAGAAGTTAACTACAAAGGGCCATGAAGAAGCATTTTTGGATGGTGAAAATGCTCTATATCTTAATTTTGGTGGTCATTACACAGTAGTTTGCATCTGCCAAACGTATACAGCTGTATTCTAAATGGGTAAAGTTCATCATATATAAATAACATCTCAATAAATCTGACTTTGAAGACATAAAAAATCATTTATATCACAAATTTTGGGTCAATCTAACGAGATATATTCAACAATCAATATGAGACCTATCAAGAAAGCAAAGGAATTCTTGATTCCCTAAGATGTTTCAGAAATTTCCCTCTTTCCAGAGTACCAATGACATTTTATTATCTTTTACAAATAAATGTGATATTTTAGGAAAAAAAAAAGCTACATTGAACAAGTGCCTTACTTTTATTATTGTCTTTTAAAAAAATCTAAAAATAACATTTAGTTAAATACAAGCTTATTTAACGAGTTGATTGGTTGCCATAATCATCTAGTCTTAGAATGACACACTACTATTTCTTTGCTTGCAGTTGCAAGGTTATTATAGTTTAACTCTCACAGTCTGGTAAGCAACTTGATAATTCAGAAAGATAATGGAGAAAAAACACTACTAGAAATTCTCACATGATATAATTGACATTCAGATTCAAGAAACAAAATTGATTAGAGATAATCCTGAGAAGGCTGCTTTAGATAGCAAATGCCTTACCTTTGTGTTTGGGTCGCATAGCTGTTATCATAAGTCTCATAGGTCTGGTCATCATATTCACCCCCGTAGCCATCATCATAACCCTGAGACAAAAAAATGGTAGAAACACCTGTTAGTCAATTTGATTAACTTTGATCTGTTTTCAGTTAGCACAATTTTATACAATGTGATCTTGGTTTAGATTTCATGTTGGGTAAGTATCCATATATCACATTTTACTAGATTAATGATTCTCACATAAACTTAAATAATATTTCATGGATCAGGTATCAATGTTTATTAAACTCAGCATATCATTGAAGCAGCAATACCTACTCTAAGACTTATTTAGAATTTTCATCAATAATAATGACTATTTAAGAAATTCAAAATAAGTTTTTCTATTTGGGTATACAAGAACAACTGTGCTAACTTTATGGTGGTGTTAACATGTTTGTTACTATCCCACTGGGAATTTTTTCTTCTCCTTTTAATAATCATAATTAAGATAGAAACTATAAACTACAGGATCCTTAAACTGTAGTCAACTTTCAGTAAAAATTATGGAGTCATTACTGATTAAATAAATAAATAAAAGAAAAAAAGAGGGAACTAAAAAGGAAAGAAGGAGTGAAATAAAGACTTCGTGGCCGGGCCTGGCGGCTCATGCCTGTAATCCCAGCACTTTGCGTGGCCAAGGTGGGCAGATCAGCTGAGGTCAGGAGTTCGAGACCAGCCTGGCCAACATGGTGAAACCCCATCTCTACTAAAAAATACAAAAAAATTTAGCCAGGCGTGGTGGTGTGCACCTGTAATCCCAGCTGCTCAAGAGGCTGAGGCAGGGGGAATCACTTGAACCTGGGAGGCAGAGGTTGCAATGAGCTGAGATTGTGCCATTGCACTCCAGCCTGGGCAACAAGCATGAAACTCCATCTCAAAAAAGAAAAAAAAAAAAAGACTTTGTGTACATTATATGATTTTTAAATCTCATAAGTAAAATAATTATGTGTGATGAGACTTATTACTCGAGTAAATTACACTAACAAAGCTAATGCAGATTTGTCATAGCAGCATGTTCAAACAAGCTAGTAATTATACACTCCAGTTATCAATCACTCTGAATGATTTAGTTTTGTTTCTCTTTGTGGTCATTAATTTTAAACACTAGCCATCCGTCTCGATTATTCCCTACTTCTGGAAAAACCTTCAGGTTTTCTGTGCCTGGTGCTGGCGCATCTCTTTCCCTGGAATACACTTCCACCCTACCCTAGCACTTCATAAATTCTTTTCAGTCTGGAGGCTTACAAATCTCTCTTTATCTTGTTCAGGAGTTTCAGCAGAAAATACCTACATGTGAAATCTTTGACATTAGTCTTGACTAACACTTTTAAGCCCATTTAATGAAAAGACTAATATATTTATCAACTTAAGAAACTTCTAAAAATTTTATTTCCTTATTTCTTCATTTTCACGTGGTCTTACCATCATATAATGCTATTATTTACATACGAAGCTTTCTGAATCTAACTTCCATCTCTTGTCATTTTTCATTATATTTTTGCTCTGCAGTATGAAATAGTTTCTCTATTTGTTCCTTGAATACCCTAATTAGTTGCTATTGAGTTAAATTTTGTTCAATGTTCTAAAGTTAATTTTAGTATTTATAAAACAATTACATGCAGATTATTTAGAAATAATACAAACAAGCTTATGTCCCCAAAATAGTAGTTCCTTGTCTTGTTCTCCTTTAACCTTCAGCTCTCTTTCAGTATTTTCATCTATTATTTTAGTATTCATTTTTGTGTTATTAAGTAATATAGCTAAGTTATTGTTGTTGGATTTATAAATTTTGTCATTTTCTATTGGCTGTCCATTCAGGTTGTTAAATTTAGTTCTATTATTTCCCTTACTTATCTTCCCAATATAGTTTCATCATAATTTTTCATTAGTCAATATTAATATTATTGAGTGAGAATACATAATTGTATCCTCTTATGACATAAATTATTTAATATAATTCTGTTTTTATTCTCATACACCTTTTCCTTTCTTCCAACGTTAATAATTGTTCATTCATCTTATTATTTTCTTGGTTTTCCAAATATTTAGAAATGTCTTCATCAATTGTCCCAATGGTCATATTAAACTAGCAGTAATATTTCTAAGATTCAAAGACATCAGCTCATCCATAATGTTTTTATGTGTAACATGGAGACTATCACCTGAAGAACTGTGTCATTGTGCTCTGGTCCACATTGATGAATTTCTAGGCCTGAAGGCCAAGGTGTTTTCCTAAGGCCTCTTTCACCATTGTTGGTAGTGAATTTCCTTTGGCCAGATTCCATCTTTTCCTTGCTTTAATTTCTTGCTGAAACATCTCTTTCAATAACCTCTATTAAGAGGTATTTTGGAGAAAAATATTTTGATTCTTTCTTGTTTAGCTTTACACTGCCCCCCTACTCACTGTAGCTTTTGTTTTCATTTTTTTGGTGATAAATTTAAATTATACAAAAGTTGGAACAAGATGTTAATGGAAACTCATCTACCCTTCACCTAGATTCAACAATTATTGACATTTTGTCTCATTTGTGTTATCTTATATATATATTTTTTAAGAAACCATTTGCAAATTAGTTCCAGAAACATGATATTTTATCCCTAAATACTTCAGCTTCTATCTCCTGAGTGTAGGGACATTCTTCTACATAAATGTATTATTATTACTCCTTAAAAATCACAATAAATTCACATTACTGTGAAGTCCCCAGTTAAATTTCTACAATTGTCCCAAGCATTTATGAATTTTGTAGCTATTTTAATCTTGCATAGCTATTTTTCAAAAATCAGAACCCAATAAAGAATTTTGAATTGCATTTGATGATTATATCTGTTTAGTGTTTTTAGAGCTAGCATAGTTCCCCAACCTTTTATTGCTTCCCAAAATATTAACTTTTTTGAGTGGTCCAAACCAACTGTTTTGTACACCATTCCACATTCTGCATTTGCCTGATTATTCTCATAATTACATTCAGATTTAATATTTTTGAAAGAATGTTACATATGTGATATTGTATTGTACATTTATGTTACTGGAAATTTTTCAATTGTCTCATACTTAATTGGTTGGGTAGAGAAGTCTAGGCTGAAAAAAAATGACTTTTAATCAGAATTTTGAGAGCTTTGGTACAATATTTTTACTATTCCATGTTAAAGTTGAGAATTCCTATTACTTACATGTGACCTAGATTTGTTTTGTCTCTTTTTTATTTCTTCTGGATGCTTTTACAATTTTTATCTCTGCTGTTCTGAAATTACAGAATGCAATGCCTTTGTGTGTGTGTTTCTTTTCATTCATTGTGTTGGGTGCTCAATGAGCTCTTTCAATCTAGAGGCTTATATTCTTCAGTTGTGGAAAATGTCTCTCCATTTTTTTTCTTTCTTTCTTTCTTTTTTTTTTTATAACCCTTACTAGTGAGATTGAGTCTTCTCGGTTGGCACAGTAAATTTACTTTTTTGTCCTATATGATATCTCTTATTCTTTTTACTTTACTTCACACACACACACACACACACACACACACACACACTAACAACTGTTAGGATGTGGAGTGGATGTTTTGTGTTCTCAGGTATAGTTTAAGCATCCCATTCTTAGCCCAAGGTCTCATCTCCTTTGTGGTGGGACAAGGGTTAATACCATAATTGGAGCTTTCTGGAGCTGCAAGATTCAGGGCAGTCCAGCACTCTATCTTGAGGATCTGCCTGGTCAGTTATGAGGACATCCACAGGTGCTCCAAGGGGTGCAAACTTCTTTTTAGGAATCGGGCTTTTGGTCCTTCACCAAGATTATAAAAATATGGCTTTACTCACCTTTATTTCTTATGCAAGACTCAAGGTCTCTAGCTTCCAACAGGAGGCAAGGCAGTTTTAATTTGTTTGTTTTGTTTCACTTTATTTTTGTGTTTCTGTTTCTGAGCAGGGAGGTACAAGAACCAGGGATGGGAGTAGGTACTTGTCTTCAGGGCTCCAGGGCTCCTGAAATCCCTATGTTTCCCCCATTTCCATCTGTTGAAATGCTACTGATTCCTCAAGGTCATTTTACATAATATCATCTTTAGAAATCTTTTCCTGCTTCTAACAACCATATATTAACCCTTAGTTCCCCGAATTCCAATAGCATGTTTTCTCTCATTGTTCTTAAAATACCTAAACATATACTATATTTCTTTTTCTATAATTTTCTCTCTTTTTAGAATTTAAGTTTCTGAAAAGCAAGGACTATATCATAGTTTATCACCTTTTTGATGTATTGTAGTACTTAGCATAGTTTATCCCATAGAATAGTCATTTAACAAATATATATTGAATTGTTTAATTAGCCAAAGGAGACTACTCTTATCCACTGTCTAGATATGGATTAACACAAATTAATCACAGCTAAAAGATAAATGTTTCAAATGATAAATATATAGAGCTATTATCTCTATTTATGAAGAATATCTTTACTATTTGGCCCAGGAAGATTATTTCATTTTACTCCCTCACTTACTCTTTTACTTCTTTAAATGTTACACAGAAAATCCCCAGAGTAGATGGAAATCTGTCCTGCTAACCTAAACTTTCATAAAGCATATAGTGCAATGTTCCCCACATAGCTGTACTTACTGTAAAAGGGACAGTAAATGGGCATATTTTTCCAATACTTGATATATTTTTAAAACCATCTTTTTATTAAGAAATATGTATACACATAAATATTTGTAAATATATATGTATGTATGTAAACGTATAGTACTGCAAAACAGTAAACTATCATTAGACAACCGTCACAAAATGAAAAGCATAACAACGTTTAAGATGTCAACACTGCATCCTACATGTTAAAAACAGACCGTAAGTTAATCATTGGTATATCCTTATTGCATAAATCAGATCGTTTTCCTAATGCCAGCACTAAGGAAGTAGTAGGTGGATTTCTGAAGAAGTGAGAAAAAAGCAAGAGTGTTCTAGCAGCTAGGGTAGGGAGAGACAACCGCAGAGCCATAAAAGGCATGGACTCCGGCTTTATTCTGTCTGCATTCAAATCCTGAATCCTAATAAGATTCCCAGATGTGGAAACTCATAAGACGTAGGGAAGAGTAAAGGTAGAACATGGAATGTTTTACATAATACAGTTTTTATTAAGACCAATAAAGTTGTAGAAAAAGAAAACCATAGTTCCAGGAAACCATATTTACGTGGTTTTTTTAAGTAAAAATATGCATTGTGCTGATGATGGTCTAAGATAAATCACTAAAATAGACATGCTCCCTAAAAAGCCAGTCAGTATCTGCCTGAGATTTAAGGTGAATATGAATATTGAATTAAGAAATCAAAACATAAAAGATCAAAAATTCTGAAATGATACTTTTTCCGTTTTTGCTTCATTGTTTTTGCTATTTGAAGACATTACTTTCTTATCATGTCCTGGCTTATTAGTATATTTCTACTAAAAAATACTACTTTATTACTTAAGTTATCAGTCCCAACGCAGAATTTCCTCAAGTACAAAGAGCACATCCGATGTGTCCAGTAAAAGAAAACCTTCTAAATAAATTAACAATTTTAACTTTACTTTCTTCTAGCTGTAGACAGATGATTTGATATCTCCCACAAAAAAGAAAATACTCAAGGAGATATGATTCATTCCTCCCTGGAACATGGTCATGAAAAATATCTCTTCTAAGATTTCTTTCTATCTGTGAAGTTATAAATTCTTTAGTTTTCTATTCTTTGAGTCAAATGAGACAAGTCCTTATAGGATCCTTGTGAAACACAATCTTGGCTTCTTTCTGAGTCTTTGCTAAGTCCTCTACAATATACTTAAGGCACAATGTGAAGTGTGGGTCTAAAATGAAGGCCTGAGCTATAATGAAATAAGGCAATTTCTTTGTAGCTTGCTATGAATTATAGACCACTTCACGCATTTGGGTATTGGGCAAAGCAACATACAGGACAAATACGTGTGTGTTACCATAAACACATATGTTTACAAAATGAGCCCTTTTCAAATCTACCCTGGAAAATGCATTTTTTGTCTTTAATATTCCTACTAATTTCTCAAATTAATGAGGTCATTGACTTAAACGCTTATTATTGAACTATGATTTCTATTCCAATTTTAGGTTGTCAAATCTAATACTGGCTCTGCATATGAGCTTAAAATAATAGTAATTCATCAGATGTTATATTAACCACTGAATTACCTATTATCCAGGCATTAAACATAAGAGAAGATTCAGACATAAGTCCTATCTTTAAGAAGTTTTTATCCAGTGTAGTTCTGGTAAATGCTTAATAATTGCCTCTCCAAAAAATTGTATGCACGTGTGTCTATGCACATATACATACAAATTCATTAAACCTTTTACTGACATAAAGCATATGATTTATAACTAAAATATAGAATTTATTATACATTCTATAAACATATAACTTCAGTGTGACTTGCAAAATTTTTTGCAAAATCCACTATAACTTTTTATAATTGCATTGCCACAATAGAATCCCAATAAATCACAGCACAGATAAATGCTTGCTTATTATCTGATTCAGCAATGATGTCAATGTTATTGATAAACATGTATGGTTCTGACATGACTGTTATTTGACATTTTTATTTATGTTGACCAGTAAAATGAAAGTGAAATCTCAAATATGTATGTCAGAATCTTACTTGTTTCTTAATGATAGGAGCAACTTTGCTCTGAATTAGACAATGGTTTTGACATACTGGAAGAATATTTCCTCAATTTCGTGTTCCATTTACAATGTAAAGGTTATAGGAATAATACACTTTTAAATAAATAAAATGCTCTGAATTAGACAATGGTTTTGATATGCTGGAAGAATATTTCCTCAATTTTGTGTTCCATTTACAATGTTAAGGCTATAGGTATAACTAACTTTTAAATAAAATCTGCATAATTAACATTTTCTCCATAGCTTTCTTACATTTAGATAAGGAATAAAACAAAACGTCAAGTCCTGGCTTTTAGCATTTGTCAATATCTGTAGTGTAAAAACTCTTATTACAGCTGATTTTAAGCTATCACCACATTAGCACTGAAAACAGACTTGGGAAGAGGTGAACATTAGCACACCATTATATGTTATTCCCACCAAACAGATACACTAGACATAAATAACCAAAAGAGCACAGATTCTAACATAATACATACTGATGAGTCTGTAAATGTTTATCTTCAATATAATCTATTTCATTTAAAGTTGTGTAATTCAATTTTTAATAATGACTGTGTTTAACAATCAATTTACAAAATTCCTAAAAATTTTACAAATCTTGTGAGCCAGTATGAGTCACCTCTGCTCTTGGTTACTAGAAGATATCAACAAATGTATATGCAATTGAGATACCAAAGAAAGCACTCCAAGAGTATGTAACAGGTGCTATGGAAGCACACTGGAGGAATGGCTAAATAGGTCTGAGGATTTCAAGGAGAATTTCCCCGAAAAGTTGTTGTTTGAGATTGGTATTTCAAGATAAATAAATGTTTTTCAGATTGATAAGCAGGTAAAATGAGAGCATTCCATTTCCAGGTGCACCAAGTGTGAATGCATGGCATTATGAAACTAAATTGTGTTTTGTGAGCTGCTAGTAGCTAGATCTAACTAAAGCACAAAATGTCTAAGAAACAGTAGGGAGTTGGACCAAGGAGCAGAAAGGGTCAGGTCTGAATTGTTTTCTATAACATGGTAAAGGGTTTATCTATATCTAGTCGACAAAGAAGCCATTGAAGGGTTCCAGGTGGTAGAATGACAAATTTAGATCAACATTTTATATATTTTGACTCAAAAATAAAAATTACCAGGGCTTTGTAGAGTAGGCTCCATTTTCCCACTATTTTCTTGAACATGTTATCATAGTTACTGTAAAGTCCCTGAATGATAACTCTAACATCTGAATTACCCATGACTATTTTTTTCCTCTTAGTTTTTATTGTTATTGTTTTTAACATGTCTTATGGGTTTTCACTGAACTGTTGATATAGTGTAAGGAAATTTGTGAAAGCGTTGGCTGATGGTATTTTCTTCCAAAAAGCATTAAGTGTTTTCTTGTCAGGTCATTAGGATAGCAACAGGTAACCGTGATACGATTAAGAGTTGGTTTCAGGCACCTGGATATATGAGTTTGAAGCTTAGACAGTTTGAGCTAGAGATATGGCTCTAGTAGTCATCAACATATGCATGGCAACCATAATAACCACCATTGTCCACTGAGAAGACAAACTTAATTTACAGAAAGCTCTACGTGAACACAATGTTCCAAGCACTACTTCCGCTCTAGGAAATGAGGGCACAAGGTCAGCTGTAATAAATATATTTTGTACAGGAAGACCCCATTTAAAAAAATCAGCCTTGAATTTACCCAAAAGATATTATTTCTTGAAAGGCCTTATTAAATCCCCATGCCAATGTTTTTTGTTTTTTTGTTTTTGTTTAACAGAGACCTGTGAAAATTTCTGGCTCTACTCTTACATGCATTACTACCCCATAGACACAGAATCAAAAAGTTCTAAAAAGAAAAAAAAATGGAATGGTAAACAGAATATGTTAAATTACCTCTAGATAGAGCTTTTCTAATCAGTACTAGTTTATGGAGCCTAAGATATTTGAAGGTTGCTTGCAACTCAGAAAAGGGAATCATCACATAAAAATAGTTTAGAAACATCTCACCACATATTTTGGGAAATAAATATGTTTTGAAACTATTTTATTACATCACTGACAGTTCAGATAATTTTAAAAAATAATTTCAACTTTTATTCTAGATTAAGGGGGTACATGTTGACTTTTGTTACATGAGTATACTGTATTTTGCTGCGGTTTGGGGTATAAATAGCCCTATCACCCAGGTAGTGAGTATAGGACTCAATAGGTAGTTTTTCTTTACCTATTTAAAAAGTCAAGTAGGACCACAGGAAATTGCCATTTTTGTAAGTCAAAAATTGTCAGATGTTGGCAATTTCCTAAGTTCAACCTAACACTAATATTAGAAACTGTGAAATTGACATGTTTTTGTCAACTAAAGAGAACAGAAGTGTCTTGTGATACCAGTAAGTCATTGCGGCTTCTAGAAGAAAATCATTTAGAAATTTAAATGATATGAAATGTCATTCTGACTCTGTTATATACCCACATTTTCTGTGAAGACTTTAAAAATTAACAAGTCTTTGTGACAGATTTAGCATCTGTTCATTATTTTCATTTGGATTTTATTTTCTATAAAAGGTCAGCAGGCATTACAATAAAATACATAAATTAAGGGAAATAATGTGGAATATTCTTATGCAGTTGAGAGAAAAATAAAGTGAAAAGAGCAATAATAATCAAGAACCATTAAATATTCTATAATTAAGTAATTTAATTATGAGGGTCAAGATAATAAATTGTCACCAAAAACTAAAATGCTAGGCACAAAAGTGATTTGCAAATGCTGCCCTTTAATATTATTGAATATAATTAACAGGTCAGATAGGAACTTAACATTTAACTTACTTTATGAAGTGTGGTTAATTCTTAAAAACGTGTCCCTGTCTTAGCTTATTTAAACCATAAGATGCATAGAATGTCTACTTCATATATGATCTCTTGTTACTACAAAAGCACTTCATGGTAATAATCAAAAATTTAAAACATAAAATATTACTACAACAAAAACTAACTGTACAATGCCAATATTTTGATAGTTACTATTTCTTTAGGATATAAATTATTAATGCTTGTGTATTCTCTTGACTATGGGTTACTTATAATTTTCCATGTATTTTTTCTTTAAAATGTTACATTCTATCTGTGGTATTGTTACATTCTCTCTCTGATATTGAATAGATGAACTTCTGATAAAATAAGAAATATTTTAATAGTCTCTTCCATCTCTTTTTTCCCACTGAAAGCATGACTAGATTGCTGGCTTGGGATGATATGGCAATGGTTACTCCCCAGTATGCAGCTTTTGTTACTGATGCAACATGGGAAGTCATTATGTATTCAAAACCATATGAGATCATAAAGGTACACATCCTCAGTGAGGTCATTAAACCTAACAGTTTAGCTCTGCAATTAGGCAATATACTTAAATCTTTGGAGTTTTCTATAGAAATCAGTAAATCAGTCTCTAATAAAAGGAAGCTATTCTGTACCTTCCTTTCCTATGTAGATTGTAGCTGCTAAACAATTTTCCCTTATATATGTACACTCAATATAAAGGCTGGAAATTGCATATTTCTGAAATCTAGATTCTCTGGAAATTAAAAGCTCCCAAGGAACTATAAGACATTCTCTGCCAGCCATGCATATGCAAGACAGTATTCTACATTAACAAATTAATCTCTGGGGAGGCTAATGCTAACTTTTCAATCAGCCCAGTAAAATCAAATAACAAACCTCAAGAGACATACGTGGAAGTTGTATATATTTAAAAATAAAATTAATAATATACAATTCAAGTGAACACCATTCATAAACATATATAACAAGCATGCATTGGGAGACCAGTAAAAGCCAGTATGTGACACACTTACATACACAGTTACTTTGTTAAAAACCAAAATCAAGCCTATATGGCATGTTCTGTATCTTTACACCTACTTAACAGATTAGGAAAATGAGAAATAATTTCAGGAGATCACAGCCCACGAGGAAGTGTCTTGGCTACAATGTAAACTCAGTTATCTGGCACTGTCTAGTATTTACTCTCTAGTTGCTTTACTAAAGGCCTAATATCATTAATGGCAAAATACAATTCTCATGACTTTTTAAATAATTTCGTTAAGTTTACAATAGTAACACAAACACAATTTGGGATTTTACCTGTTAAAACATGTACTGAAGAAAAATGAAAAAAATTGGGGTTAATAATTTTGTATTATATTTGTAAAAATCAGTGTTTTATCCTTATTTTATTTTTTTAATTTTATTATTATTATACTTTAAGTTTTAGGGTACATGTGCACAACGTGCAGGTTTGTTACATATGCATACATTTGCCATGTTGGTGTGCTGCACCCATTAACTCGTCATTTAGCATTAAGTATATCTCTTAATGCTATCCCCCCCCTCCCCCCACCCCACAACAGTCCCCGGTGTGTGATGTTCCCCTTCCTGTGTCCATGTGTTCTCATTGTTCAATTCCCACCTATGAGTGAGAACATGCGGTGTTTGGTTTTTTGTCCTTGCGATAGTTTGCTGAGAATGATGGTTTCCAGTTTCATCCATGTCCCTACAAAGGACATGAACTCACCATTTTTTATGGCTGCATAGTATTCCATGGTGTATATGTGCCACATTTTCTTCATCCAGTCTATTGTTGTTGGACATTTAGGTTGGATCCAAGTCTCTGCTATTGTGAATAGTGCCGCTATAAGCAGTTTTATGAGAATATAAAATGTAAAGAACTATGCATATCTGAGATTTTAATATACTTTAAGTTAATAAGCTAGTCTATTATTGTGTCATGGATGCTGGCAGAAGACATAACTCTTGGGTCAAAAACAAGGACTCTATTACACACCATAAATTAAAAGCCAGGCCTTCATATTGGCTTGCCCTACATCCCACAGGGCAATGAAAGTGTGTCCAGGTTAGATGCCTGTACACTAAGTGGGTTATATTGCAGGGTAGGAACAGTGAGCTCATGGAATGTAAAGTAAGTGGAAGCAAACCTGCTCTTACTTTGGGGATAGATGCTATCCATTCTTTATGTTACTAGCTGCAAGTGCAGTCCTGATAAATCATCCAAGTAAAGAGTAATTAGGGCCTTGTATTCTTGGCATAACCAGCCAGAAAGCACAAGGATGCTCAGGATCCATAGCAAATTGTGTCTCCTACCAAGAGATGAGCAAAACACATGAAAACTGGGAGTCCTTCAAAAGTGATTTGCTGTATTGAGGAGGGAAGGGCAGATGGTTATACTGTTTCCTTGTTTATTTGATATCTCCAGCAAATGACAATATGTGCCTTTACTTTTGTCTCTTCAGCTTTATCCTTTTTATCCTTTATCCTTTTTTTTCTGGATTCCTTTGTCTTCTAGAGTTCTATATAACATTTTACCCAAGGGGAGTACAAGCCAGTAATCTTTTCTTATTAGGAGAAACAAACCTTGTCAATTGTCAAACATTGTGAGATACTATCTCCTAACAAACATGGCTATTTTAGTAAGACTACCCAGTTCCTACAGAATATTAACATTTACTACCGAAACTTTCAAATCTGTTTTCCTTTTTTTGGGAAGAATGACTGAACATTAATTTCAATAGTTTTACAAGTTTCAAAGCTCATCTAACTATTTTTGGTGATGAACACTATTTAATGTGATTTAGGTTTCCAAGTAGGTGACTCTTAATCATGAACAGCTGCATTTCCTGTTTAAAAAGGAAGCAATATAGTAAACAAAAGTACATTTTAAACTCTGGATTAAAAAATAATACAACTTGGCGCTTGGTGGGGACAAAAGAAAATTTGGCTATTTAGAGATTGCTTCTAGGCTATAATTAAAAGGAGATATCCTGAAACATTTTAGTAATTTTTCTCTAGTATGATAAGAAAGGATGTTAACTTTGTATTTTTTGAAAATATTCGGTTGTCAGTAGGTTTCCTTCGACTCCCATTTTTTAAAATGCTTTTTAACACCTTAGAAATCAGGTAGCAATCTGTTCAACCCAGTTAATGAACAGAACTATGACTAATGAAACTGGAGTTTAGAGTAATGAAGTGCTAGTTTGCTAATGGATCTATTTTAAATGTGTTAATGCTTTATGTACTTCATATTGTAGGCATCCTTGCTGCTTCAGGATAGAACCCAAAGCAAATGCTGTAAAGTCAGTGGCATAAGTCTCTAACGCCTTCTAATACACTCACCAGAAAGAGACAGATAAAATTGTTAATGCTGTCATGACTAAGAACAAGATCAAGTTTTAGAAGCCAACTTGTGTTTTTCACTTCTAAGTACCAAAAGGTTAAAGATGAATAAAAGGGCATAGACATATCTTACTATATTTCTAATCATAGAAATCCAGCGGACTGGCCACACAAGAGGAGAGTTGTTGTTTCTAAAAGGGTCTTTTTCACGGCCAATTATTTATATAGTGCCTTGACGTTGCTGCTGTGTGTAAAATAAAATAAAATATTTTATTTTATTTTATTTGCTCACACCTTTAAGTGGGGTTAAAAATACTTGATAATTGTGTTCTCCTTAACTATATTGTCCTTAAGAATAAAGAGTGCGTGTCTTACATTTCTTTAGAACTTGCCCCATTTCTGTTGTCCCACTAGTCACTGAGACTTAGTACTTAACGTTTTTTTCCCAAAAAGATTTTATTTTATTTTAGTTTAGTTTAGTTTAGTTTAGTTTAGTTTTATTTCACTTTAAGTTCCGGGATACATGTGCAGAATGTGAAGGTTTGTTACATTGGTGTACATGTGCCATGGTGGTTTCCTGTTCCAATCAACCAGAAAGAGACAGATAAAATTGTTAATGCTGTCATGACTAAGAACAGGATCAAGTTTCAGAAGAGAAGTTTAGAAGACGTCATCTAAGGTTTAAGCCTCGCATGCATTAAGTATTTGTCCTAATGCTCTCCCTCCCCTTGCCCCCCATCCCCGACAGGCCACTGTGTGTGATGTTTCCCTCCCTGTGTCCATGTGGTCTCACTGTTCAACTCCCACTTATGAGTGAGAACATGCTGTGTTTGGTTTTCTGTTCCTATGTTAGTTTGCTGAAGATGATGGTTTCCAGCTTCATCCATGTCCCTGCAAAGACATGAACTCATTCTTTTTTATGGCTGCATAGTATTCTATGGTGTATACGTGTCATATTTTCTTTATCCAGTCTTTCATTGATGGGCATTTGAGTTGTTCCATGATTTTGCTATTGTAAATAGTGCTTCAATAAACATACATGGGTATGTGTCTCTATAGAAGAATTTATATTCCTTTGGGTATATACCCAGTAACGGGATTGCTGGGTCAAATGGTATTTCTCAATGGTATTTCTCAAATGATATTACTCAAGATGGATTAAATACTTAAATGTAAAACCCCAAACCATAAAAACCCTAGAAGAAAACCTAGGCCATGCCATTCAGGACATAGGCATGGGTAAAGACTTCATGACTAAAACACCAAAAGCAATGGCAACAAAATCCAAAACAGACAAACGGGATCCAATTAAACTAAAGAGCTTCTGCACAGCAAAAGAAACTACCATCAGAGTGAACAGGCAACCTACAGAATGGGAGAAAATTTTTGCAATCTACCCATCTGACAAAGGTTTAATATCCAGAATCTACAAGGAACTTAAACAAATGTAAAAGAAAAAAAAAGAAAAAAAAAAACATCTAAAAGTGGACGAAGGATAAGAACAGACATTTTTAAGAAGAAGACATTTATGTGGCCAACAAACATATGAAAAAAAAAGCTCATCATTTCTTTGTGTTTTATATTGCTATTTTAGGACATGAGAAACCAAAGCTTAAAATGTTGTTGGCATCATCATAGCTGATCTGATTCAAATTATCTAATTCAACTGGTGTTAGACAGAGAATGAATCAGGAAAACCAAAACAAAAACAGCATAAGAAATCAACATCCCATAATGATTCCTGCCAAACTTCTTGGTGTTATGTTGGTTGTTCAAAAGGAATTTTGTAGCTTTTAAACAAGAGCACGATGACATGATGCACCTATTTAATATTTTTAAGTTTTTGCCCCCAAAATACTTCAGTTCTGATCTTTAGTAATATTTTTTCAATTAGAAAGAATTTAAGAACCAATCACTTACATTGATAAATGTAAAGCAATTTTTACACATTATTTCACACAACTATCACTTTCTAGTAAATTATGCATGACAAATGCATATCAAAATGAAGTAATTAATTTTCTATAAGCCAGTTAAGTAATCTTCATTTCCATGGTGGCTATTTTTCTATCATATGGTACCGAATGTTACAAAAATTCCTTTGTTATCCTGAAAGGAAGGCATTTTTAATTGTTTTGGTATTCTTATCATTGGAAATATATTAACAATGCCCTTGTAGTCATCTTTAACCTCTGGTACATAAGAGTAAAAAGCATGAGTTACCTTCTAAAATTTAATCCTGTTCTTAGTCATGACAGAATTACCAATTTTATTTTCCCAGAATGTTGTTTTCTATTTAGCAGTGCTGGTTAACAGATAAAATGTAAATGTTCAGGTTGTTATTAATAAAAAAGTATTTTGATATTATTTGAATAGGGAGGGGCCTCACTGCTAACTTAGGTTTAGTTCTGATCCTTAATATTCTTTTTTGAGACAGAGTCTCACACTGTTGCCTGAGCTGCAGTGCAGTGGCATGATCTCAGCTCACTGCAACCTCTGCCTCTTGGGTTCAAGCGATTCTCCTGCTCAGTCTCCCAAGTAGCTGCGATTACAGGCACCTGCCACCATGCCCAGCTAATGATTTGTATTTTTAGTAGAGACGGGGTTTCACTATGTTGGAAAGGCTGGCCTCAAACTCCTGACCTCATGATCCGCCTGCCTTGGCCTCACGGAGTGCTAGGATTACAGGCGTGAGCCACCACACCCAGACTTAATATTCAAGTTTTTAAATTACTCTCTCCTACTCTGGTAAGGGTATTTATTTACTTATTCATGTATTTATTTATTTTTGATACCTCAGATTTTGCTTAGGGCTGATGACTTAGGGCTACCCTGGATACCAGCAGTCCTGGAAGCCCACCATGTGAGCAGGAAGAGGCCCTCTATCAATATTGCAAACTCACCAGGTCTATATTAAGTTTCACATAAGATGTCTTTGAATAATTGCATCTGAAAAGTTTTCAAATATGTTGGTATACAACATTCTGCTGTATTAATAAACATTTTTATATATTCTATTGTAACTATCAAATGTAACTTATATGGGCTAAACATATCAGTTTGCCATACAGAGACCAAAATTTTCATCAAAGGACAATTCAAATTGCTGTATTATTCTATTAACTATTTATTTTCTGGGTAGTGATTCATTTCTTTCCAAATTTCGCATTGTGTTTGTTTATAATGTTAAAACTCCTGTTATGTATCACATTTGGAGACTTCATATATGCTAGTATAGTGCTGTCCAATAGCTCTTCCTGTGCTAATGGAAATTCTCTATGCCCTGTGCTATCCAATATGATATTCACTAGTCAGTGTGGTTAATGGGCACTTAAATGTAGCTAGTGTGACCAAGGAACTGAATTTTAAATTTTATTTAATTTTAATTTATTTAATTTTCAATATTTCTTTTTCTTTTCTTTCTTTCTTTCTTTTTTTTTTTTTTTTTTTTTGAGACGGAGTCTCACTCTGTCGCCCAGGCTGGAGTGCAGTGGCACAATCTCGGCTCACTGCAAACTCCGCCTCCCAGGTTCACACCATTGTCCTGCTTCAGCCTCCCGAGTAGCTGGGACTACAGGCGCCCGCCACCATGCCCGGCTAATTTTTTTGTATTTTTAGTAGAGATGGGGTTCCGCCGTGTTAGCCAGGATGATCTCGATCTCCTGACCTTGTGATCCACATGCCTCGGCCTCCTAAAGTGCTGGGATTACAGGCGTGAGCCACCGTGCCCCGCCTTTCAATTTAAGTAGGTACAAGTGGCTACATGTGGCTACTGGTAACCATATTGGACATAGAATAACTAGTAAATAGCTGTCTATGAAAATAGCTGATCAGAAATTTTTAAAATATGTTTTCTTCTTTAGTTCAAACTTTACTGTAGAAGCATAAAAAGCCAAAGCACTTAGATTTATAAATGATGTCAGTTTGAGAGCAAAATTATACTTTTTGAATCTGCTCTTCATTTCTCATTCATCTTTTCCTGTCCTGTTGTTTAAATTATCCTTGATTTTCTCTTTTGTGATTTTAAATGATTCAGTTTTTCAATAAATGAGATGAACTAGTAGCTTGGATGACATTTTCTATATGATTCACTTCTTTGGTAACACTGAAAAATAAAACGGAGAAAACATTAATGACATCATAATCTCTGAGAGTTCTGGGGAACGTTTCAATATGCAGACACCGAACAATATCTAAGAGCAATCAGCCTGGGGACATGAAAAATACTTCTTGACTCTGCACATATCCTTATAAACATTTTAAAGAATTAACAAAAGGGAAAAAATCAGATCCATATTTCCAAGTCTTTGATGATTAAAAGACTGTTATTTTAAAGAAGAATCTTGTGTTGTCAGTCTATATTTGTTATTGTTTTCTTATAAACTAGTAGAATGACCTCTAAATTTTATGCCTAAGGAGGGTTTCAGCACTCATAAAAATAATAATGAGGAGTTATTTTTAAGAATATAAAGGATCACTGTGTGAAAAAGAGTAGAAGATATCAGATATATCTTACATGTTATCTAATTTTTAAAAGCCACAGCACCAACAAGATAACATTCTTAACATGAGGAATATCTTAAATATAGAAAGAAGAAAACAGAGATTGACAAAAGCATCAAAAGAGACAAAAGGTCATTCTTTTAAAAGTCTCTGATATACTTAAATCTGAGGAAGGCTCATGAATACAAGCTTCCTTTAACTCCAGTGAAAAATGGAAATTGACATGAAATGAGCAGAATAATTGTGATCGTGCTTATACAAAGACTGGTAAAGTGGGAAACAAGAGGAATAAGCCAGGCCAGCCTATGGGGTTCAGGCTGTTTCTAACTGGATTTCTGTTCAATCTTGATTAAGACTTTTAGCTATGCAGCTTGTAGTGGGTTTTGTCTTTCTGAAATTCTGCTGTTCTTATATTTACTGCATTATGTCTGGATTCTTATGTACCAGCACCGTCAGTTTCGCCTGTTCAATCTGCTAACCCACCAATGGTGCTTGGCTCACTACTTCTACCACATTTCTTGGGAAAGTAACCAACCAAGTGTCTTTAGACAAAACCGTCTTCTGATTCTAGGTCTCTATATCTTGTTTTCAACTTTCTTTGTTTCCCTTTTTCACATTTTGCTTATTTACCAGGGAGTAACTGCCTTTCTTCTTCTCATTTATGACCAGAGAAAAAAGTAAAAAAAAAAAAAAAAACATCTAGGAGGCAATACATCATCACGGGAGTAGTCAAATTTGGCAAATGTTACAGTTCCTTCCAACATGGAATTTCTATGTTTCTAGTTTTATTTTGAGTAGCCTGCATAGGAAGTGTTAATATATCTCTATTAAGAATAAGGTAAATGATGACAAAAATTATCACGATTGCTATTATTATCATATACGACTAAAAATACAAATATATAATTTTATATTACTTTATGTCATAATATAGTAAAAGAACTTTGATTGATATATTTTAAGACCTGTACTAAATACTTGCATAAATTATTCCATTTATTGTTAAGAAGCTGCTACTTATACCCATTTTATAACTGAGGATAACCTTGTATGATTTCTAAAGTAAAATTGTGACAGTCTAAAGGAACAGTGGCTCAATTTCTGATGTTCTTGACTATACCTTACATTTTCCATCATACTTTTTCAAAATTTATACACAGTTTTCTAACTGCTGCAATTACTAATGGCTTCTAAATGTTGATTCCTACATAAGGGATAATATCTTCACATTTGTAATCATCTGAGTTCCAGGGGCTACTGATAATCTGCTAATCTGGCAAAGGGGTTCATCCGTGGCAGAAACAGTAAGAATTGTGTATGAGATAAACTTCCTCAGGGGTCACACACAGAACAATGTGCCCTATTGCAGGAGTGCACTTTACAATGTAAAACATAAGAAGAATGTGCCGAGAAAAGGGGACAAGGCCATCTGCTACATGACACAAGTCTGAACTGTCCATGCTGCAATTCATCCTGAGTCCTTCACATTTTCACTTAAAAACATAACACTTAAATGTTGTGTAGTGCTGTATTTTGTCTGGAAAAGTAGGAAGGAGCTGCTATTTTAATTTTAGGGATTAACCAAATTGGCACAGTCTGATTGAAGGAATGGCCTGTTAGTAGAAAGAAGCTAGAGAAAGTATTAATTTCCTAGAGCTGCCATCAGAAAATACCACAAACTGGGTGTTTTAAACAACATTCATTCATTTTCTCACAGTTCTAGAGGTTACAAGTCCAAGATGAAGGTGTCAAAGGTGTCACACAGCTTGTTTGATTTCTTCTGAGACCTCTCTCCTCAGCTTGCAAATGGCTGCCTTCTCATTGTGTCATCACTTGCTCTTTCCTCTGTGTACACACTTCTCTGTGTGTGTGTGTGTGTCATAATCTCCTCTTCTTAGAAGGACACAAATCATATCCAATTAGGGTCCTGCCTAATGACCCCATTTTATATTAATCATCTCTTTAAAGGCCCTGTCTCGAAAACAGTAACATTCTGAGGTACCAGGTATTAAAGCCTCAACATATGAATTTGTGGGAGGAAGACGCAATTCCACCCATAAGGAAGTGAGGCATCGTAAATCACAGGAAGGGGTGGAAAGGCACTGAGAATCATAGGCCTGGAGATGGGGTTTGGGCCAAGTCTAGTCAGATTTCCATGAGTAAGTCCTATGCAACATTTAGATGACATCTGGACTGTTCTGCAAGATAAGGATGACTTTTTCTATTTCAAAGGTGAGAAGAATAAGGCTCACAGAGTTTAGCAACATGCTCAAGATCTCACAGATTCATAAATAGCAGACACAGGAATTGACCTAGCTTTATCTGACTCTAAATGCTAGTCTCTTTCCATTAAATCATGTTGCTAAATCTGCTTTTCTCTAAGCTCAAACATACAAAATAATTATAGCTGAAATACAATTAGGTATTCTATTCAATCGTATTATTCTTAAATTTGCATTCCATTAGCTTCTTCTAGTATTTTAATTTTCATTATAGACTTTAACAAGCTAAAAACCTAATTATTTCACTTGACATGTATGTTTTGAGTCCCTGAAATGTGCCAGGCACTATTCTAGTGATTGTGGTATACAAAAAAAAAAAAAAAAAAAAAAGAACAAAAATATCCATGCTCATTGAGGTCATATTCTAGTTGGTGGTTTAAGATGAAGACAGAGAATAAACAAAAAGATTAAACTGAGTATATATTATACTATATGGAAATAAATACTATAGAAAAAATGAAGCGAATTATTTGAGGTGAGGGGTCGGTATGTAAGTTGTAATTAATGTAGTCAGAGCAGGCTTTCCTGAGAGGCTGAATACACTGTTTGAATGAGAGGATATGTTCTGGATTAATAGAATAATAATAATTTTAAAAGCAGACTTGCAGAATTCTATGGGAACCCAAGCTCTTAGTTACCTTTCATTGGGTATTTTATTCATAAGCATTTTATTCCTCACTCTATTTGTATCACACAACCAGCTAGAATTACATTGGACATAATAATTCACATAATGGAAGGGAAGGCAGCACTAGGAACACAATAAACTCATCATTCGTGTTGCTCTTTCTTTCTCTCTCCCTCTCATTTTCCTCTCTCTCTCCTCATTCTCCATGTATCATCCCTCTTTGTCTTTCAGCCACCTCCACTCAGCAGAAAACACAGCCATCTCTGTAGCTGCTTTGCAGTCACATTATTCAGTGGCCAACCAATGAGAGAAGAAAGCTTCTTCCTCGATCTCAGTTTTCAAACTGACAAAGGAGGACCCTAATTAGCTTAGGTCACAGGACTTGACCGGTGGTGGTACCCCCACCCCCCCAAACCATATGAGCATTTCTCAGATAAAAGAGGGTGATATTCTGGACAGATAAAAGTAACTGTTTAGTAGAATGATCATAAACATCTTTCTTTAAGCAGAGAGAGAATTGCAATTCATAGTCAGCTCTGCTGAGTTAATCAATAGGATCTTTTGTGGATCTTTTGCTCATATGTGTGTAGTGTTCGAATTTTTATTTTCCTCCTTGGGGCTATATGGAAAAGGAAGAAAGCATGAGGATAAGAGGAAAAGTGGGGATATGGCAGCCAATCCTATAACCCTTCAACTCTGCTACCCACATCTACAATTAATGTGTGTTGTAAAGTCGTGTGGTAGACTAATAATGGCATGAATGGTTATGTCCACATCCCCATCCCAGGAATCCCTAAATGTTACCTTATTTGTAAAAGGGTTTTTGCAGGTATAATTGAGAATCTTGAGATGAGGAGATTAACCTGTACTATCCAGGTAGGCTTTAACTACCATCAGAAGTGTCTTATAAGAGGGAAGCAGAGGGAGATAAGACATGTGGAAAAAAGATGGAGATAGAAATTGGAGTGTGATGCAGCCACAGCCAAGAAATGCTGACAGCCACCAGAAGCTGGAAGAAACAAGGAAGGATTCTCCCCCAGATCCTCCAGAGGGAACAAGTTCTCATGACACCTTTATTTTGGACTTCTGGCCTCCGGAACTGCGAGAGAATAGATTTTTGTGGTTTTAAGCCATCAAATGTGTGGTAGTTTGTTACAGCAGCATTAGGTAACTAATACAGATTTGGATGACTAAAAAATACAGCTGGAGTTCTCGGCAAGCTGAGACGTTAAAAGCTGTCTATGTTAAAACAAAACAATTAAGCCAAGGGGTCTAGTGAGGGACCACAAAAAAATGGAGCAATGACCTGACCCATTATTCATGAGTGGGGCCAGAGAACATTACAGGATTGAGAGCTCACCAATCTTCAGTCGTATGTGTGCTGTAGACTTAACGCTCAATAAGTGAGCAAGTGAGCCTACTATTACATCCCCAAAGTTCTGTTGTCTCTAAACTGAGGTACAAGTTTGAGAATCAGGGGTTACAAACCTGGACAACAAATCTGTCACACAGAGACAGGATTTCATGAGTTTATAAAAGTGACTGTCTTTAAGGATATGAACTATGTTTTATGCTTTTTTTTTTTTTTTTGGTTTCAGTCTTTCCCTTGATTCTCCACCTTACATAGGACTTTGCTCATGGTTTTATACAAATCTTTATAATTGATTATTGTAAAAAGATTCAGTATAGTGTGTGGAGGCTACTTACTTCCTGTGGACTGGATGTAAATCAAGAGATGGATGCAACAGAAAAAATGAAAAAAAGATAGGAGTGCATAGAGAAATCAATAACCAAGATGCATACATTTAGGGATATCTTTCTTAAATTATAACTTTGAAGGTTAGTGTAAGGTGTTGCTCTGCTAAAATGAAAATAATAGCAATGATTTGCAGCCTTCAGAGTTAGTGGATAGAACACTTTCAACATCAGGTATTTCCTCCAGCAATTTTCATTGCAATTTTGATGTAAATACCAAATTTATAATAGAATCTAGTAAAACATAATATTTATTTGAGCTAAAATTATATACTTATCTATTTTACATCTAATAAATCAATATTTCAAGGGATTTTGCAAAGGTTACTTTCAGGCAGTTTCTTCTCTGAACAGTTTGACATGTATCGGTTTATGTTATCCTCCATGCAGGATATTATTTTTGAGTTCAAGAATGTGTGAAAATAGAGCATCTTTAGGGATTACCTATAAAGTATTTTTAAAAGAATTATTTAATAGAATATCTTGATATTTTATCTGGGCCCCATCCCAACATTATGACTGAATTGATCTGTTTTAGCTACTGAGCATTGGTAAGTTCTTAAAGTTCTTCAAGTTATAGAGATAAATAACTAGTTTGGGGAACCACTGCCTTAGAGCCTTATTAGTCCTGGACTATGAAGGAAACCTCCTAATGAGGCTAAAAGTTCATCAAAACTAGTCTGCAGAAAAACAAAGCTTATCAGAAAATTGAACTGCCATGTTCAGAACCTAAGCAGCTCCTGAGGTCATCAACTTGAATATGTGTATAAAATTCAGGAGATTGGCCAGGCACAGTGGCTCATGTCTATAATCCCAGCACTTTAGGAGGCTGAGATGGGCGGGTCATGGGGTCAGGAGTTCGAGACCAGCCTGGCCAACATGGTGAAACCCCATCTCTACTAAAGATACAAAAAATTAGCCGGGTGTGGTGGTGTGTGCCTGTAATCCTAGCTACTTGGGAGGAAGTAGCTTGAACCTGGGAGGCGGAGGTTGCAGTGAGCCGAGATAAGGCCATTGCACTCCAGCCTGGGCAACAGGGCAAGACTCTGTCTCAAAAAAAAAAAAAAAAAATCATTGGATTATTTTGAAAAATATACTATAATAATTAATTGAATGGAGTGAGGGTCCAATAAAGACTTACTGGGCCAGTAGGTGGAGTTAGAGTCCACCAATGCTGTGATTTGAAAACTACTTGTTCTGAGGTCTTTCACTTTTCAGTGATTAAGCAACATCTTCCAGTTCATGTATTGCTTTTAGGGAAAGTAGTGGGTATTGGTAAGAGTGACATATAATATTATTGTGCTCATATATCAACATTATTATTGACTAGCATATTACAGTGGCTTCTGGCAGGGAAAGTTTATGCAGTGACACATTTTCTAAACCAGACATATTGTTTGACAAGTCTAATAGACTCACAGATATAATAATTGAATTAGAAACTAATTTTTTATTCATGCATATTTATGGATGCTTACTATATGTAAAGTTCATTATTAATTTTATTTAATTAATTTATTTTTTTTTTGAGATGGAATCCCGCTCTGTTGCCCAGGCTTGAGTACAGTGGCACGATCTTGGCTCACTGTAACCACCAGCTCCCAGGTTCAATCAATCGATTCTCCTGCCTCAGCCTCCCGAGTAGCTGGGTTTCAGGCTCCTGCCACTACACTTGGGTAAGTTTTGTGTGTTTAGTAGAGAGGGGGTTTCGCCATGTTGACCAGGCTGGTCTCGAACTCTTGACCTCAAGTGATCCGCCAGCCTTGGCCTCCCAAAGTGCTGGGATTACAGGCATGAGCCACCATGCCCAGCCTCATTATGAATTTTAGTGTTTCAGAGTTTACATATGAGTAATCTTGGACACCATTCATTCTCAACTTGTGGAACTCTTTAGGAAATAAACAGCAGTGCATTTTGCTAAATGGTTAGACTTGAAAACAAAATAGTTTAACTTAACAGTAATTTCACAGACATTTTTCAAGTGTACAATTTGACATAGGTGCAAACTAGTGTGTAGACACAGGTATGCACCAGTGAAACTATCACCACAATCAAGATGATGAACATATTAAGCATCCCCAAATGTTTTCTCTTGCTATTTTGTAATTCCTCTCTCCCTTCCCTCTGCACTCTAGCCTCTTTCCTCAGGCAACAAATGATCTGCTTTGCTACTACAGATTAGTTTGATTTTTCTAGAATTTTATGTAAATGCAACAACATAGAATGCACATTTTTTACAGTTACCTGCTTTAACTCAACGTAATTATTTGGAGCTTCCTCCGCATTTTGATTTTTATCCAAGTCTATTTTATATTGCTCAGTAGCAGTTTATGGTATGAGTTTGTTTATCCTTTAATCTGCCCCAAGTCAACTTGAAAAAATATGTATATTCTGCTGCTGCTTGGTGAAGTGTTCTATAATTGTCAATTAGGGCAGAGTTGGTAGTATTGTTCAAGTTTTCCATATCTTTGCTGATTTTCTGTATACCTGCTCTCTGTTATTAAGAGAGGTTTTGAAACTCTTACTATAGTTTTTGATTTATCAGTTTCTCACTGCAATTCTATTAGTTTTGCTTAAAGTATTTAAAGATTTTACCTTCTCCCCAGTAATGTGTAGGGGTTCCAGTTTTGTCACATACTCCCCGTCAACTTACTTTTTGATTGGTGTTAGAATAGTAGGTATACTTTTTTGCATCCTTTATAATTAACTTATTATATCTTTAAGTTTAAAATGTGTTTTTTGTAGGCTGCATACAGTTTGGCCTTTTAAAATTATTCAAAGTGACAATCTATGGGTTTTAACTGGAGTACTTAAAATCATTTACATTTTGTGTGATTGTTGACAATGGTTTAAAACTATCATCTCGCTATTTGTTCCCAATTTGTCCCATTTGTTTGTTCTTCCGTTTTTCCTCTTTTTCTGACTTCTTTTGGAGTAACTCAATATTTTTGTGATTCAATTTTATCTTCTTTATTGTCTATTTTTCCTTTTCAGTTTTGCCTCTAATAATTATTAGGTGGAACCAAAGCAGTTCTCAGTTTAGGGCTCATTGTTTCTTACTACTTAGTAAGATCTTTTTATATACTCTACACAATGTCCCATTAATAACGAAAGGTGTTTTCCAGTATGACAATTGAGACATTATTCCCAGTCCTGTGCGAATGCTGGACACAATTACCTCTGATATTTTAGGCAGTCATTTTCCCCCGAACTCAGTTATTTATTCCCATACAGGTACTGATCAATATTCTGCAGATACCTGGAATTCTCTCCTTGTGCATCTCTCTCCTGTCTAGTACTCTTACAATTTTTAGCTGCCTTGGTTTCCTTGAACTCTCACTTCTCTGTTCTCAATTCAGGAAGTTTCCCAAGCTTTACCTGGGTTCCTCCTCACTATGTCATAGACTGGAAACTTTCTGAAAAGCACAAACTGGGGAAATTGTAGGGCTTATCTTATTTGTTTCCTGTCTCTCAGAGATCACTGTTCTTCCCTATCAGATGTCCAATATCATGAAACACTTGTTTCATATATTTTGTATGTTTTTTGTTGTTTTAGGTCAAAACGTAAGTCTAGTTCATGTTAACTACATATGACCAAAAGCACGTGCCATCTAACCTTTATTCTGCTTGTAAGTATAGCTTTGTATCCCTATCTTCCACTAGATCATGAATGTTTGACAAATAGGTTCTTTGTCAATTTCCATCTTTATTTCTGTCCCCATGGCTTATACAGTATTTTATATGCATTAAGTACTTAGTAAATGTTTGTGGAATTTGAATAAACAAAACTTCAAGTTGGGATTTGTTCAGTGTTGTACTTGGTAGTTTACATAACTTAAAAACATGAAAAGTTAGACTCTGTCCCCCAACCTCATTTTATAATTGTACCAAATATGGCCCACAAGAGTACATAACTTTTCCAAAAATAGAGTCCAACATAAAATATACTCATGCTGTATGATTTTAAGCAAAATCCTAATCAACCTATGGTTTGGTTTTCATATCTATAAAACGAAAATAATAATACCAGCTCTAACTAAATGATTGCTGTAATAGCAATTGTTATGTAAATATATATTTAGGGTATAGGAGACATGTACATTATTGAATCAACATACTCTCACAGATGCTTGAAGCCATTCAGTTGGTTCACAAATAATGTGCCATATTTACCACACTGCAAATAAAATTTCTCATTTTTATGGTAAATGGTGGAAACACATGGACAATACTATAATGTGCCATGATACCATAAAATTACAAAGAATTTATGTGGCATAGTGTTCTCTTAGCAGCCATCTAAAATATTAATGGAAACAATGATTTTACATATAAAATGTTTGATTTTCAAAGGACTTCAAGCCTTTTAAAGCATTTAATGGAAAAAAGCATAAATGAATAGTCACTATTTCTTTGTTCAAAAGAGAAAATAAAACATTCTTAACTAGACATCTGCTTGTATATACAGGTTAGCAATATTGGTAACTATGAGAGATACTGATCCATGACTCATCTAACAACGTACACCAAAGGTATTTATATTTCCATATAGTCGTATTTATGGTTTTGCATTTTTGTCTATTTTTTGTGATCCTTTATGTGCTTCTTAAAAACTTGAAAGTTAAAATGCAATGCCCATTCCCTTTGTACAATACATTTCTAAATGTATTTAAGAAAGCAGTTTTAATAGTAATTTAAACTTTATTACATCTCATAATTTAAAACATTATGAAGATACTATTAAAATAGACTTACTGATTTTAATTATTTTTGAAGGGTTTTTTTTTTAGATATAGGAATTTTGTTTAATCTGTTAGGTTTCAGGGGTACCCCCAAAGTTAACCAGCTCTCTTTGAAGATGCGGTCAAACTCACTAAGCCATATGCTTCCAATAGGTAACTTATTCCTTAGCTAAACACTAAACTATTTGGGAAAATGTTTGATCTCTTTCATTTCCCTTGTTAGCACGATTCAGCCTCAAGTCATGCTAAACAGGAAGGCCCTCTGATACAATGATGAGCATCATAATAGTAGTAGGATTTGGCTAATCAACAAAAATTAAATGAACACTAGCAGCCTAAAGGAGCCAGAATGTGTGAAAAGGATTGTTTCTTTCAGCTTTAATTAACTTTTGTCTTTGCCCAGAACATGCTGTGTTTTAAGCCTGGCCAGACTTTCTTAAAGGTCTGAGCCTTTGGGCAGGCACTAAATGGAAAACTTGATTTACTGTAAACAAATTCAGCTTTCTTGTATTTGTTTGCTTACTCACAAAATAATATTGAAAAAAAATAACATGCATTTACATTAAATACTTTTTCCTTAATGTTGAACCTCATCTAAAAAAATGAGTTATTTAAAATGAATGCTGTATTATTTTTAAGGGGTAATTCAATTATACATTGTGCTAAACATCCGGAAGACATTTTAGGGAAGATAAACTCAATAAATTTGTGATTGTTTTTCTAAAAACATTTGTATTGTTCTCATAGAGAAGGTCTGCAAACAAGTATAGAAACAAAAGAACAAGGCCCCAAATTGTTATTGATACTAGTAAACCAATTAGAGCTTTAGAGAGGATGGTTTCTAAAAGAAAAGCCATTACTGGGCTGGATGCAGTGGCTCATGCCTGCAATCCCAGCACTTTGGGAGGCCAAGGCAGGTGGATCGCTTGAGCACAGGAGTTCAACTTCAGCCTGGGCAACATGACAAAACCTCAACTCTACAAAAAATACAAAAACTAGCTGGGTGTGGTGGCATGTGCCTGTAGTCCCAGCTACTTGGGAGGCTGGTGGGAGGATCACCCAAACCTAGGGAGGTGGAGGCTGCAGTGAGCCTGGATCATGACAATGCACTCCAGCCTGGGCAACAGAGTGAGAACCTGTCTCAAGCAGAAAAAAGGAAAAAAAGAAAAAAAAAGAAAAGCCATTAGCAATGGAATAGAAAATTATACATCTTAGAAATATTTTATGACATTCCTGGTTTTAGCTTATTTGAAATGAAAACACCGAATCACAGAAATTGATAGAAAACCAATAATTTGGCAAAGCACCTTCACATTAAGCATACAATTTAAATATGTTGGCAGGCATAATACAAATAGGTTTATTCAATGACACATTTGGAAATGTCATGAAGAAATGCTTGAACAGTTTTGAAATTTTCTTCTATAGTTGAGAGGAAAAGATTACTGCTTTTTGTATTACATGTTGTTTATTATTAGTATAAAGCTATTTTTAGTGGTAAGATTCAGGCAAATAGGGTTGAAAGGTATTGAAAATGAAATTTGCAGCAGCTTTGCCTTCCGAATATCTTCCCCAGCTACATTTTCGTGGATGAGCTTCATATGCTATAGGGAATAGCTATTTCTGTTGTCTTTTAGGTAAGGTTTTCCAGAGAAATTGTCTTTAAGCTTAAAATGTGTGGTCAGTGAAGAGATGTAATGCCTGTCTGATGCAAATCAGGATGCAGATCAAGGAAAGGTGTTGTCAGTCATACAGTCTGGCCTCTTTTGGAATTAATCAGGTGTCTGGGTTTGAATTTAACTGACACTTTTGACTAACATGTAAATGTTTTAGAAAACAAGTACATGTCTGCTAAGGTATTCCTATAAACACCTATTGATTTTGTACCAGCAACACACAGTATTTGTTTATATTTTCTATTATAATAATATGCTGGTGATATCAGCTTATAAAATTCTAATGGTTCATTTTAATCTAGGAGATTTAGACACACCAACTAATATGTTCCTGAATATTTACAAAATGGAATTGCAGATCATTGCATTAAGGTATCTGGTACTATTTTTTCTGAGGACCAACACCATAAATGTCAAATAAATATCACCTAGCACAGGTTCTTTAAACCTACTAATGGAAATTATTTCAAATATATACATATGTACTAAATGGAACTGCCATTATAATATGATGCAGTAGAGAACTACAGAATTTGAGATCAGATTAACCCTTATTTGAATTTTGGCTTTACCACTATTCCATTTTGTAAAATGGTGATACTAATACAAACATTGTATTTGGGGTGGTGGAGAAGATTTTGAGTTAATTTGCACAACTAAATTAGGATGCCCTGACACCGTAAAATTGCATAGGATCTAATTCATTCTTTTCAGGTTTAAAAAATCATTTTCTGTAATATCTGTTATTACTAACAAAAATATCAGTTCAGCTATAATAAATAATGAAAATATAAATCAAAATATTATGTATTTCCCTTGGTCTAAAGGGTAATAAGAATGAAAATTCTTGGTGTTTTTCATTGCAAATGAGCAATATTTAGATACTAATACAAAATGATTTAAACTAGCAAAAGGGATTATTCTTATTTGGTTATATTTCATACACTTCAATGACCAGCTTAGCATAAGTCAAGGACACAGTATTCTATGAGAATAAAATAAATTGAGAATTTGGGGAAATCCCCTAGAAAGATAAAATCCTGCACAACTTTTCCATAATTGATTCTCAGATATGAGTCTGGATAAACTGGATACTTTTTCCTCCCCAGTTTTTTGACCTGGGAAGAGTCTACTGAGGACTTGCATATCCCAAACAGAACAGGGATGGATTGTAGCCAGTAATATAGTTTGGATATTTGAGCCTTCGAAACACATGTTAAAATTTCATCCACAATGTTGGAGATAGGGTCTAATGGGAGGTGTTTGAGTCATGGGGGCAGATTCCTCATGAATGGCTTGGTGCTGTGCTCGTGGTAATGAGTGAGTTCTTGCTCTATAAGTTCCCACTAGAGCTAGTTGTTTGAATCTTGCACCTCCCTCTCCTCTCTCTTGTCTATCTGTCTTTCCAAGTCATCTCTGCACATGCTGGCTACTCTACACCTTGTACCGTGATTGGAAGCAGCCTGAGGCTTTCACCAGATGCTCAGTTTTCTAGCCAGCAGAATTGTCAACCAAATAACTTTTCCTTTATAAATAACCTTAGCAACACAAATGAGCTAAGACAGTCAGTAACGGCATGGTTTCACACATATAGAAGCTCACATTCAATGTCAATATCCCAGAAAAACAATCAGCATTGAAAGTCTCTCAAACAGGTTGCAACAAAGGCTATTTCAGAAACCAGAAGGTTCTATTGAAATTTTATTTACCCATCTCTTTCTCAAAGCCGTTGCTTTTTTTTTGCCTTCCCCCGACTCAATCAAGCCAGCAGCAGGAATGAGGGGTAGAGAGAAGGCAGTTCTTCTGCCTGTTTCTTGGCTTTTACTTTCACTTCCTCACTCCCTGTTCTGCCTTTGGGATCTATTCTGTCTATTCTTCAATGAGCTTCATGATCTTGCTAACCTATGTTAATATAACCTCCTTCCAATTGCCCAATTCCCATCATATGTGATCTCAGTTAGAACAAGGGAAAGCCCAGGAGCTGAGCAGAGAAACCAAAGAAATCTGCTAGACGTGGGGAGTGGAAAAGAGTCTTGGAGACTCCGACAGTAAGGGTGTTTGTTTGATCACTAGAGTGTTCTTCCACCTTGGGGATTTGAAACGGGCTTTATAAATATCATGGAATAAATAAATAATTGGATAAACAAATGTTTATACATTAGGATTCTGATTCCCAATGCTGTTGTAACTCTAACTTGTATACTGTGGAGGCAGTATACGTATGCTTCTCAGATTTTATTGTGAAGAATTTGGAACATCATCTGAACATAGATGGAAGGGGCAGGGCTAAAATGAGAGGCCAAATGTTCCTGAGACTTTGTGCTGAGCAGCAGTAAATGTGAATTTCCGACCAAGTTCTAAAACGAATGGAGAGCATTAGGAATCAAATATGAGATCATTAGGAGCCCTTTTAGAGTTGAAAATGGGCAAGTGTCCAGAATAAAACCTTTACAGGTATCATATTTTATACAATGAAAGTACATGAGGAATACCAATAATAATAGAGAACTGCAAGTTTTTAAAATTAGAGGTGACACCTTGCCACTTTAGACTTATGTGGAATCCTTAAGTCATTTTATGATTGTCCTTCCACAATGACCAATTGTGAATTTCTCTGCACAACTGGGCTGATAAAAACTATTTTTATAAAAAAATTTATTTTATTTTATTTTAAGTTCCAGGATCCATGTGCAGGACGTGCAGGTTTGTTACATAGGCAAATGTGTGCCATGGTGGTTTGCTGCACCTATCAACACCCATCACCTAGTTATTAAGCCCCGCATGCATTAGCTGTTTATCCTGATGCTTTCCCACCCCCTACCCTCCCCTTGACAGTTTCCAGTGTGTGTTCTTCCCCTCCCTGTGTCCATGTGTTCTCATTGTTCAGTTCCCACTTACAAGTGAGAACATGTGGTGTTTGGTGGTTTTCTGTTCCTGTGTTAATTTGCTGAAGACAATGGCTTCCAGCTCCATCCATGTCCCTGCAAAAACATGAGCTCATTCCTTTTTAGGAGTGCATAGTATTCTGTGGTGTATATGTACCATGTTTTCTTTATACAGTCTATCATTGATGGGCATTTGGGTTGATTCCATATCCTTGCTATTGTGAATAGTGTTGCAGTGAACATATGTATATATGCAACTTTATAATAGAACGATTATATTCCTTTGGGTATATACCCAGTAATGGGATTGCTGGGTAAAATGGTATTTTCTAGTTCTAGGTATCTGAGGAATCATCACACTGTCTTCCACAATGGTTGAACTATTAGGTTGGTGCAAAATAATGACAGTTTTACTATTACTTTTAATAATTTACATTTCCACCAATAGTGTAAAAGCATTCCTATTTATCCACAACCTTGCCAGCATCTGTTGTTTCTTGACATTTTAATAATTGCCATTCTGACTTGTATGAGATGGTATCTCATCGTGGTTTCGATTTGCATTTCTCTAATGATCAGTGATATCGAGCTTTTTTTCATATGTTTGTTTGCTGTATATATGTCTTCTTTTGAGAAGTGTGTATTCATGTCCTTTGCACACTTTTCAATAGAGTTGTTTGTTTTTTTTCTTGTAAATTTGTTTAAGTTCCTTGTAGATTCTGGATATTAGACCTTTGACAGATAGATAGATTGCAAAACTGTTCTTCCTTTCTGTAGGTTGTCTGTTCACTCTGATGATAGTTTCTTTTGCTGTGTAGAAGCTGATAAAGACTATCTGTTGGTTCATGTTAGTAGGTCACATTTCAGGTGTGCATTGTTGTACTTTTTAAAAAAAATCAAAAACTTAATAGTTAAATTAAATTTTCAAAAAATTAGATTACATTTACATTGAAATCAAGATTAATAATAATAGAACTATTCTTCAATCGAACTTCAAATTACGAAAGTCACTTCTCAGTTGTCAACAGAAGGGTACAGAGAATTTAAAATGGTGAACTCATTGGTTTTAAAATGTGGTTCAACTTAAAGGGAATTTAGAAGTAACTGGCCAGGCATGGTAGCATTTCTATAATCCCAGCATTTCTATAATCCCAGCATTTTGGAAGGCTGAGGTTGTAGGATTGTTTGAGGCCAGGACTTTGAGACCAGCCTGGGCAAAATAGGGAGACTAGCTCAACACAAAAAAAGTTAAAATTAGCTGAATATGGTGACGTATACCTCTAGTACTAGCTACTCAGGAGACAGGTGGGAGGATAGCTTGAGCCCAGGAGTTTGAGGTTACAATGAGCTCTGATTGTGTCACTGCACTCCAACGTGGGCAACAAAGCAAGACCTGGTAAAAAATAAACAATAAAAAATAAATAAGTAAATAAGTAAATAAATAAAGGATCCTACATTCTTTTTTTATTTTTAATTTTTATGGGTACATAATAGGCATGTATATTTATGGGATATGGATCTTAGAGAAAAGACTGTTAGTTTTTCCCTGTTCAGAATGATACTAGCTGTGGGTCTGTTATATATGGCCTTTATCATGTTGAGGTATGTTCCTTCTATACCCACTTTTTTTGAGGGTTTTTTTAAATCATAAAGCATTGTTGAATTTTATCAAATGCTTTTTCAGCATCATTTGAAAAGATCATATAGTTTTTGTCCTTCATTCTGTTCACATAATGTATCACATTGATTGATTTGCATATGTTGAATCATCTTTGCAATCCCACTGAGTCATGATGAATGATCTTTTTAGTATGTCTTTGAATTCAGTTTGCTAGTATTTTATTGGGGATATTTGCAGCAATGTTCATCAGGTTTATTGGCCTGTAGTTTTCTTTTTTTAGATATTCCTTTGTCTAGTTTTAGTATCAGGGTAATACTTGCCTCATAGGATGAATTTGGAAGTCTTCCGTCCTCTATTTTTCTGAATAATTTGAGAGGATTGGTGTTAGTTCTTCTTTAAATGTTTGGTAAAATTCAGCAGTGAAGCCACCGTGTTCAGGCTTTTTTTTTGCTGGAAGACTTTTCATTATAGCTTCAATCTCATTACTGGTTATTGGTCTGGTCAAATTTTAAATTTCTTCATGATTCAATCTCGGTAGGTTTTTATGTCCAGTAATTTATACGTTTCTTCTAGGTTTTTCAATTAATTCACATATAGTTGCTCATAGTAGTTTCTAATAATTCTTTGAATTTCTGCTGTGTCAGTTGTAATGTGTCCTTTTTCACCTCTGATTTTATTTATTTGGGTCTTCTCTCTTTTTACTTAGTCTTGGTAAAGGTTTGCCAATTTTATCTTTTCCAAAAAACCACATTTTTGTTTCATTGATATTTTGTATTTTTTTGTTTAAATTTCATTTATTTCTCCTCTGATCTTTATTATTTCTTCTACTAATTTTGGTTTGGTTTGCTCTTACTTTTTTAGTTCTTTAAGATGCATTGTGAGGGTGCTTATTTGAAGTTTTTCTACTTTTTTGATGTAGGCATATATAGCTATGAACTTCCCTCTTAGTACTTCTTTTGCTGTATCTCATAGGTTTTGGTATGTTATATTTCCATTTTCATTTGTTTTGAGAAATTTTTAAATTTTCTTCCTAATTTCTTCATTGAACCACCGGTCATTTAGAAGTATATTGTTTAATTTCCATGTGGATGTATAGTTTTAAAAGTTCCTCTTGTTACCAATTTTTAGTTTTATTACATTGCGGTCAGAGATGATACTAGAATGATTTAATTTTATTTGAAATTTTTAAAACTTGTTTTGTGTCCTAATATATGGCCTGTCTTTAATCAATGTGCTGAGGAGAAGAATGTGTATCCTGCAGCCATTGAATGAAATGTTCTGTAAATACCTATTAGGGCTATTGGGTCTATGGTGCAGATTAAGTCCATTGTTTCTTTACTGATTTTCTGTCTGAATGATCTGTCCAATGCTGAAAATAGGGTGTTGAATTCTGTAGCTATTATTGTTTTGGAGTCTATCACTCTCTTTAGTTCTCATAGTATTTCTTTATATATCTGGGTGCTCCAATGTTGGGTACATATATATTTATAATTGTTATATACTATTGATGAGTTGACCACTTTATCATTACATAATGATCTCCTTTGTCTTTTATAGTTATTGTCTTGAAATCTATTTCATTTAGCTATTAGTATAGCTAGCTACTCCTCCTCTTTTTTGGATTCCATTTGCATAGAATACTTTTTTCTATCCCTTTATTTTCAGTCTGTGTGTGTCTTCATAGTTAAAGTGTGTTTCATGTAGGCAACATATCATTTGGTCTTGTTTTTATTTAATCCATTCTGCCACTCTATGTCTTTTGATTAGAGTTTAGTGTATTTACATTCAATATTATTATTGATAAGTAAGGATTTACTCCTAATTTGTTTTTGGTTTTCTTTTTTTGTCATCTTTTCCTCCCTCCCTTTCACCCACCTTCCTATTTTCCCTCCTTCCTTTGTTTTTGTGAAGGTGATTTTCTCTGGTAGTATATTTTAATTTCTTGCTTTTTATTTTTTGTGTATCTGCTATATGCTTTTCCACTGAGGTTACCATGAGGCTTGTGAATAACATCTTATAACCAATTATTTTAAACTGATGACAACTTAACACTGATTTCATAAACAAACAAGCAAAGAGAAAACTAATAATAACTCTACAGTTTAATTTTATCCCCTACTTTTAAAGTTTTTATTGTTTCCATTTATATCTTATTGTACTGTCTGTGTCTTGAGAAGTTGTTTTTATTTTTGATAGGTTCACCTTTTAATCTTTCTATTCAAGATATGAATTATTTATACACCACACTTATGATGTTATAATATTCTGTGTTTTTCTGTGTACTTACTATTACCCAAGAGTTTTGTATCTTCAGATGGGTTTTTATTGGTAAAGTCCTTTTCTTTCAGATTGAAGAACTTCCTTTAGCATTTCTTACAGGCCAGGTCTGGAAAAGTCTTTATTTTTCCTTCTTGTTTGAAGCATATTTTTACTGGCTATCCTATTCTAGGATAAAAGTATTCTTCCTTCAGTACTTTAAATATGTCATGCTACTTTCTCCTGGCCTGTAAGGTTTCCACTGAAAAGTCCAGTGGAAACCTTATGTCAAAAGCCAGACGTATTGGAGATCCTTTGCATGTTGTGTCTGTATTTTCTCTCAGTGCTTAGGATCTTTCTTTATCCTTGATCTTTGGGAGTTTGATTTTTAAGTGTCTTGAGATAGCCTCCTTTGGGTTATATCTGCCTGGTGTTCTGTCACCTTCTTGTCCTTAAATATTGATATATTTCTCCATGTTTAGAAATTCTCTGTTATTATCCCTTTGAATATACTTACTACACCCATCCCTTTCTCAACCTCATTTTAAAGGCCAATATCTCTTAGATTTGCATTTTTGTGGCTATTTTCTAGATCTTGTATGTATGCTTCACTCTTTTTTATTCCTTTTTCTCCTGTCTCCCTGATTGTGTATTTTAAAATAGTCTGTCTTCAGGTTCACTAATTCTTTCTTCTGCTTGGTCAGTTATGCTGCTAGGAGACTCTGATGCATTTTTCAGTGTGTCAATTGCATTTTTTTAGCTCCACCACATGGCTGTTGCCAGGGTTTGGGGTAGGAGTAGTGTCAACTATTCAAGACAGTCTTTCCTACCCTTTTCACTGCCCTTGATTTGATGTTGCAACAAGGAACTCCGATCATTTACCTGATTTTTTGGTCTTATAAAAGTGCTTTTTTGTGTAAACAGTTGTTCAATTTGGTGTTCCTGCATAGAGAACAATTGGTGGAGTGTTCTATTCAGTCACTTGGTTTTGTCTCCTCCCCCTACCTTCTTATTGATTCAAAGTATATCTGTATCATTTTCCTCTGCATGTGAAAGAATTATATTGCCAGTCCTTTTTGATTTCCAGCCTTTATTCAATGTCTTTAGTATATTTTATTTATAATGAAATTAAAATGCTCAGATAAAGAGAATGGTCTTTTAAACCATTTTTACAGTTTAATATGTTGCATTTTAGGCTGACGTTAAATGAAAGTCACCTAAAATATTTATGATTAAAAAATTCCACTGGGAGGGAGGAGCCAAGATGGCCAAATAGGAACAGCTCCGGTCTACGGAGCCCAGCATGAGCAACACAGAACACGGGTGATTTCGGCATTTCCAACTGAGGTACCGGGTTCATCTCACTGGAGAGTGCCAGACAGTAGGTACAGGACAGTGGGTGCAGCGCACTGTGCACGAGCTGAAGCAGGACGAGGCATCACCTCACCTGGAAAGCACAAGGGGTCAGGGAATTCCCTTTCCTAGTCAAAGAAAGCAGTGACAGATGGCACCTGGAAAATCGGGTCACTCCCACCCTAATACTGCGCTTTTCCAAAGGGCTTAAAAAACGGCACACCAGGAGATTATATCCTGCACATGGCTCAGAGGGTCCTACTGGCTTGGAGGGTCCTACTCCCATGGAGTCTCGCTCATTGCTAGCACAGCAGTCCAAGATCAAACTGCAAGGCGGCAGCGAGGCTGGGGGGGCGGCGCCCGCCATTGCCGAGTTACTTGTTTGATTAGGTAAACAAAGCGGCCAGGAAGCTGGAACTGGGTGGAGCCCACCACAGTTCAAGGAGGCCTGCCTGCCTCTGTAGGCTCCACCTCTGGGGGCAGGGCACAGACAAACAAAAAGACAGCAGTAACCTCTGCAGACTTAAATGTCCCTCTCTGACAGCTTTGAAGAGAGTAGTGGTTCTCCCAGCACGCAGCTTGAGATCTGAGAATGGGCAGACTGACTCCTCAAGTGGGTCCCTGACCCCCAAGTAGCCTAACTGGGAGGCACCCCCCAGTAGGGGTGGACTGACACCTCACACGGCTGTGTACTCCTCTGAGACAAAACTTCCAGAGGAACGATCAGGCAGCAGCATCTGCGGTTCACCAATATCAGCTGTTCTGCAGCCACCGCTGCTGATACCCAGGCAAACAGGGTCTGGAGTGGACCTCTGGCAAACTCCAACAGACCTGCAGCTGAGGGTCCTGTCTGTTAGAAGGAAAACTAACAAACAGAAAGGACATCCACACCCAAAACCCATCTGTACGTCACTATCATCAAAGACCAAAGGTAGATAAAACCACAAAGATGGGAAAAAAACAGAGCAGAAAAACTGGAAACTCTAAAAATCAGAGTGCCTCTCCTCCTCCAAAGGAAGGCAGCTCTTCACCAGCAATGGAACAAAGCTGGATGGGGAATGACTTTGCCGAGTTGAGAGAAGAAGGCTTTAGATGATCAAACTACTCCGAGCTACAGGAGGAAATTCAAACCAACGGCAAAGAAGTTAAAAGCTTTGAAAAAAAATTAGACGAATGGATAAGTAGAATAACCAATGCAGAGAAGTACTTAAAGGACCTGATGGAGCTGAAAACCAAGGCACGAGAGCTATGTGACGAATGCAGAAGCCTCAGTAGACGATGCGATCAACTGGAAGAAAGGGTATCAGTGATGGAAGACGAAATGAATGAAATGAAGTGAGAAGAGAAGTTTAGGGGAAAAAGAATAAAAAGAAATGAACAAAGCCTCCAAGAAATATGGGACTATGTGAAAAGACCAAATCTACATCTGATTGGTGTACCTGAAAGTGACAGGGAGAATGGAACCAAGTTGGAAACCACTCTGCAGGATATTATCCAGGAGAACTTCCCCAATCTAGCAAGGCAGGCCAACATTCAAATTCAGGAAATACAGAGAACGCCACAAAGATACTCCTCGAGAAGAGCAACTCCAAGACACATAATTGTCAGGTTCACGAAAGTTGAAATGAAGGAAAAAATGTTAAGGGCAGCCAGAGAGAAAGGTCAGGTTACCCACAAAGGGAAGCCCATCAGACTAACAGCGGATCTCTTGGCAGAAACTCTACAAGCCAGAAGAGAGTGGGGGCCAATATTCAACATTCTTAAAGAAAAGAATTTTCAACCCAGATTTTCATATCCAGCCAAACTAAGCTTCATAAGTGAAGGAGAAATAAAATACTTTACAGAGAAGCAAATGCTGAGAGATTTTGTCACCACCAGGCCTGCCCTAAAAGAACTCCTGAAGGAAGCACTAAACATGGAAAGGAACAACTGGTACCAGCCACTGCAAAAACATGCCAAATCGTAAAGACCATCAAGGCTAGGAAGAAAGTGCATCAACTAATGAGCAAAATAACCAGCTAACATCATAATGACAGGATCAAATTCACACATAACAATATTAACTTTAAATGTAAATGGGCTAAATGCTCCAATTAAAAGACACAGACTGGCAAATTGGATAAAGAGTCAAGACTCATCAGTGTGCTGTACTCAGGAAACCCATCTCACGTGCAGAGACACACATAGGCTCAAAATAAAGGGATGGAGGAAGATCTACCAAGCAAATGGAAGACAAAAAAAGGCAGGAGTTGCAATCCTAGTCTCTGATAAAACAGACTTTAAACCACCAAAGATCAAAAGAGACAAAGAAGGCCATTACATAATGGTAAAGGGATCAATTCCACAAGAAGAGCTAACTATCCTAAATATATATGCACCCAATACAGGAGCACCCAGATTCATAAAGCAAGTCTTTAGTGACCTACAAAGAGACTTAGACTCACACACAATAATAATGAGAGACTTTAACACCCCACTGTCAACATTAGACAGATCAACGGAACAGAAAGTTAACAAGGATAACCAGGAATTAGACTCAGATCTGCACCGAGCGGACCTAATAGAAATCTACAGAACTCTCCACCCCAAATCAACAGAATATACATTCTTTTCAGCACCACACCACACCTACTCCAAAATTGACCACATAGTGGGAAGTAAAGCACTCTTCAGCAAATGTAAAAGAAAAGAAATTATAACAAACTGTATCTCAGACCACAGTGCAATCAAACTAGAACTCACTCAAAACTGCTCAACCACATGGAAACTGAACAACCTGCTCCTGAATGACTACTGGGTAAATAATGAAATGAAGGCAGACATAAAGATGTTCTTTGAAACTGACGAGAACAAAGACACAACATTGAACACATTGAACACATTGAAAGCATTGTGTAGAGGGAAATTTATAGCACGAAATGTCCACAAGAGAAAGCAGGAAAGATCTAAAATTGACACCCTAACATCACAATTAAAGGAACTAGAAAAGCAAGAGCAAACACATTCAAAAGCTAGCAGAAGGCAAGAAATAACTAAGATCAGAGCAGAACTGAAGGAAATAGAGACACAAAAAACCCTTCAAAAAATTAATGAATCCAGGAGCTGCTTTTTTGAAAAGATCAACAAAATTGATAGACCGCTAGCAAGACCAATAAAGAAGAAAAGAATAAAATAGACACAATAAAAAATGACAAAGGGGATATCACCACCGATCCCACAGAAATACAAACTACCATCAGAGAATACTATAAACACTTATACACAAATAAACAAGAAAATCTAGAAGAAATGGATAAATTCCTTGACACATACATCCTCTCAAGACTAAACCAGGAAGAAGTTGATTCTCTTTTATTTTATTTTATTTTATTTTATTATACTTTAAGTTTTAGGGTACATGTGCACAATGTGCACATTAGTTACATATGTATACATGTGCCACGCTGGTGTGCTGAACCCATTAACTCATCATCTAGTATTAGGTATATCTCCTAAAGCTATCCCTACCCCCTACCCCAACTCCACAACAGTCCCCAGAGTGTGATGTTCCCCTTCCTGTGTCCATGTCTTCTAATTGTTCAATTCCCACCTATGAGTGAGAATATGCGGTGTTTGGTTTTTTGTTCTTGCGATAGTTTACTGAGAATGATGATTTCCAATTTCATCCATGTCCCTACAAAGGACCTGAACTCATCATTTTTTATGTCTGCATAGTATTCCGTGGTGTATATGTGCCACATTTTCTTCATCCAGTCTATCATTGTTTGATATTTGGGTTGGTTCCAAGTCTTTGCTATTGTGAATAGTGCCACAATAAACATACGTGTGCATGTGTCTTTATAGCAGCATGATTTATAGTCCTTTGGGTATATACCCAGTAATGGGATGGCTGGGTCAAATGGTATTTCTAGTTCTAGATCCCTGAGGAATCGCCACACTGACTTCCACAATGGTTGAAGTAGTTTACAGTCCCACCAACAGTGTAAAAGTGTTCCTATATCTCCACATCCTCTCCAGCACCTGTTGTTTCCTGACTTTTTAATGATCGCCATTCTAACTGGTGTGAGATGGTATCTCATTGTGGTTTTGATTTGCATTTCTCTGATGGCCAGTGATGATGAGCATTTTTTCATGTGTTTTTTTGGCTGCATAAATGTCTTCTTTTGAGAAGTGTCTGTTCATATCCTTTGCCCACTTTTTGATGGGGTTGTTTGTTTTTTTCTTGTAAATTTGTTTTGAGTTCATTGTAGATTCTGGATATTAGCCCTTTGTCAGAAGAGTAGGTTGCAAAAATTTTCTCCCATTTTGTAGGTTGCCTGTTCACTCTGATGGTAGTTTCTTTTGCTGTGCAGAAGCTCTTTAGTTTAATTAGATCCCATTTGTCAATTTTGGCTTTTGTTGCCATTGCTTTTGGTGTTGTAGACATGAAGTCCTTGCCCATGCCTATGTCCTGAATGGTAATGCCTACGTTTTCTTCTAGGGTTTTTATGGTTTTAGGTCTAATGTTTAAGTCTTTAAACCATCTTGAATTAATTTTTGTATAAGGTGTAAGGAAGGGATCCAGTTTCAGCTTTCTACATATGGCTAGCCAGTTTTCCCAGCACCATTTATTAAATAGGGAATCCTTTCCCCATTGCTTGTTTTTCTCAGGTTTGTCAAAGATCAGATAGTTGTAGATAAGCAGCGTTATTTCTGAGGGCTCTGTTCTGTTCCATTGATCTATATATCTGTTTTGGTACCAGTACTATGCTGTTTTGGTTACTGTAGCCTTGTAGTATAGTTTGAAGTCAGGTAGCATGATGCCTCCAGCTTTGTTCTTTTGGCTTAGGATTGACTTGGCGATGCAGGCTCTTTTTTGGTGCCATATGAACTTTAAAGTAGTTTTTTCCAATTCTGTGAAGAAAGTCATTGGTAGCTTGATGGGGATGGCATTGAATCTATAAATTACTTTGGGCAGTATGGCCATTTTCACGATATTGATTCTTCCTACCCATGAGCATGGAATGTTCTTCCATCTGTTTGTATCCTCTTTTATTTCATTGAGCAGTGTAGTTCTCCTTGAAGAGGTCCAATCATGTCCCTGTTTGCCGATGACATGATTGTATATCTAGAAAACTGCATTGTCTCAGCCCATAATCTCCTTAAGCTGATAAGCAACTTCAGCAAAGTCTCAGGATACAAAATCAATGTACAAAAATCACAAGCATTCTTATATACCAATAACAGACAAACAGAGAGCCAAATCAGGAGTGAACTCCCATTTACAATTGCTTCAAAGAGAATAAAATACCTAGGAATCCAACTTACAAGGGACGAGAAGTTGAATCTCTGAATAGACCAATAACAGGCTCTGAAATTGAGGCAATAATCAATAGCTTACAAACCAAAAAGTCGAGGACCAGATGGATTCACAGCCGAATTCTCCCAGAGGTACAAAGAGGAGCTGGTAGCATTCCTTCTGAAACTATTCCAATCAATAGAAAAAGAGGGAATCCTCCCTAACTCATTTTACGAAGCCAGCATCATCCTGATACCAAAGCCTGGCAGAGACACAACCAAAAAAGAGAATTTTAGACCAATATCCCTGATGAACATCAATGCAAAAATCCTCAAGAAAATACTAGCAAACTGAATCCAGCAGCACATCAAAAGGCTCATCCACCATGATCAAGTGGGCTTCAACCCCGGGATGCAAGGCTGGTTCAACATACACAAATCAATAAATGTAATCCAACATATAAACAGAACCAAAGACAAAAACCACATGATTATCTCAAGAGATGCAGAAAAGACCTTTGACAAAATTCAACAACCCTTCATGCTAAAAGCTCTCAATAAATTAGGTATGGATGGGATGTATCTCAAAATAATAAGAGCTATCTATGACAAACCCACAGCCAATATCATACTGAATGGGCAAAAACTGGAAGCATTCCCTTTGAAAATGGGCACAAGACAGGGATGCCCTCTCTCACCACTCGTACTAAACATAGTATTGGAATTTCTGGCCAGGGCAATCAAGCAGCAGAAGGAAATAAAGGGTATTCAATTAGGAAAAAGGAAGTCAAATTGTCCTTGTTTGCAGATGAGATGATTGTACATCTAGAAAACCCCATCATCTCAGCCCAAAATCTCCTCAAGCTGATAAGCAACTTCAGCAAAGTCTCAGGATACAAAAATCAATGTACAAAAATCACAAGCATTCTTATACAGCAATAACAGACAAACAGAGAGCCAAATCATGAGTGAACTCCCATTCACAATTGCTTCAAAGAGAATAAAATACTTAGGAATCCAACTTACAAGGGACGTGAAGGACCTCTTCAAGGAAAACTACAAACCATTGCTCAATGAAATAAAAGAGGATACAAACAAATGGAAGAACATTCCATGCTCATGGGTAGGAAGAATCAATATTGCGAAAATGGCCATACTGCCCAAGGTAATTTACAGATTCAATGCCATCCCCATCAAGCTACCAGTGACTTTCTTCATAGAATTGGAAAAAACTACTTTAAATTTCATATGGAACCAAAATGAGCCCGTGGTGCCAAGTCAATCCTGAGTCAAAAGAACAAAGCTGGAGGCAACAGGCTACCTGACTTCAAATATACTACAAGGCCACAGTAACCAAAACAGCATGGTACTGGTACCAAAACAGAGATATAGATCAATGGAACAGAACAGAACCCTCAGAAATAATGCTGCATATCTACAACTATCTGATCTTTGACAAACCTGAGAAAAACAAGTAATGGGGAAAGGATTCCCTATTTAATAAATGGTGCTGGGAAAACTGGCTAGCCATATGTAGAAAGCTGAAACTGGATCCCTTCCTTACACCTTATACAAAAATTAATTCAAGATGGATCAAAGACTTACATGTTAGACCTAAAACCATAAAAACCCTAGAAGAAAACGTAGGCATTACCATTCAGGACATAGGCATGGGCAAGGACTTCATGTCTACAACACCAAAAGCAATGGCAACAAAAGCCAAAATTGACAAATGGGATCTAATTAAACTAAAGAGCCTCTGCACAGCAAAAGAAACTACCATCAGAGTGAACAGGCAACCTACAAAATGGGAGAAAATTTTCACAACCTACTCATCTGACAAAGGGCTAATATCCAGAATCTACAATGAACTCAAACAAATTTACAAGAAAAAAACAACCCTATCAAAAAGTGGGCAAAAGACATGAACAGACACTTCTCAAAAGAAGACATTTATGCAGCAAAAGAACACATGAAAAAATGCTCACCATCACTGGTCATCAGAGAAATGCAAATCAAAACCATAATGAGATACCTTCTCACACCAGTTAGAATGGTGATCATTAAAAAGTCAGGAAACAACAGGTGCTGGAGAGGATGTGAAGAAATAGGAACACTTTTACACTGTTGGTGGGACTGTAAACTACTTCAACCATCGTGGAAGTCAGTGTGGCGATTTCTCAGGGATATAGAACTAGAAATACCATTAAACCCAGTCATCCCATTATTGGGTATATACCCAAAGGACTATAAATCGTGCTGCTATAAAGTCACATGCACACGTATGTTTATAGTGGCACTATTCACAATAGGAAATACTTGGATCCAACCTAAATGTCCAACAACGATAGAATGGATGAAGAAAATGTGGCACATATACACCATGGAATACTATGCAGCCATAAAAATTGATGAGTTCATGTCCTTTGTAGGGACATGGACGAAACTGGAAACCGTCATTCTCAGCAAACTATCACAAGGACAAAAAACCAAACACCACATGTTCTCACTCATAGGTGGGAACTGAACAATGAGAACACATGGACACAGGAAGGGGAACATCACACACCAGAGACTGTTGGGGGGTGGGGGAAGGGGGGACGGGTAGCATTAGGAGATACACCTAATGCTAAATGATGAGTTAATGGGTGCAGCACACCAACATGGCACATGTATACATATGTAACAAACCTGCACGTTGTGCACATGTACCCCAAAACTTAAAGTATAATAATAATAAAATATAAAAAAAATTCCACTGGGTCTAACAAAATACAAATTTACAGTTTTTATTTTTAGAAGAGGGCTTGAATTAAGGAGGAAAACAGTGCAGTTTGCCATGCTGTGTTGTCAACTCATTGATGAAGACTCAGCAATGCTAGAGGAGGTTATCAACACAGAGAAAGAGTAATGAACTTATTTTGCTTCTCCCTTGCAAATAAACATGAAGACAGAGAATGCCAAAACTTCTGGAAAAAAATTTAAAACTCATTCTATTCCTCATTTGGGAAAGTACAGAGTAGAATTTTCAAGTGACACAACAATGGAAGCCTCCAGAGAGTTCCATGATTAGAGAGGAAAAATAATTACATAGGACATTAGTACATTGATGCTCTCTGGTGATAGAAATCTTAAAGGAAATACCTTCCTTAGTTTGGGAAAGAGCATAAAAACAGATTCTTGATATCTTTCAAAAATTCCAGCACTCTTATCTTAAGGGTATAAAATAAAAATATCACATAGCTGTAAAAACGAAGATTAAGATTTTATTTATTTATTTATTTATTTGCTTTCCTTTTTAACTTTAATTTTAGGTTCGAGGTACATGTGAAGGTTTGTTGTAAAGGTAATCTTGTGTCACAGGAGTTTGTCGTATGAATTATTTCACTACCCAGGTATTAAGCCTAGTACCCAATAGTAATTTTTTCTGCCCCTCTCCCTCCTCCCACCCTCTACCTTCAAATAGTGTCTGTTGTTCCCTTCATTGTGTTCATGACCACTCCTATTCAACATAGTATTGGAAGTCCTAGCCAGAGCAATCAGGCAAGAAAAATATTTTAATCTTATATCAGCCTTTGTACCATGTAATAAAAATAATTTATCAAAGTTACCTTTGAAACAATGAGCAAATACTAAAATAGATTAGAAAAATCTCCAAGAGTCATGAGGATTCGTTTAACTCCGTGGATGAACAGAGCCTCTGTCACTAAGACATTTGGGTCAAGGTGGCACTGCCTTTTATGCCTGGGACTGTGCAAGACACATTCTCTTTCTTGATCTCAGTTATAAATCTTTATCATAACTCATTGAAACAACTATTTTTCATCCAAATTACAGCTGAAGAAACTTATAGAGGTGATAATTTACCCAAAAAACATAAAACTGGCTTATCTCACAAGAAATTCAGGTACCATGTAACCTTCCAAACAGAAAGGCATAGTAAACATGACTTACAGAGGAGAATATTAGAAAATAAAATGGGCAGTTAAAAGAAAAAGATAAAAAGACAAATTCTGAGGATACAGGTGCCACGTGATGCCATAATGGACAGTTTTCTAAAGTTACACAAAGCACAGATGATTCCTCTTTCCTGGGACATAGTGCCACCGTGCCGCAAGTTGCTTTTTTGCATCTTCTTTTGCTCTTCCATCAGTCCTAAATGACATATGCCAAACCCTTAATGCCAAGAGGCAGTAGATTATATTTTTAATCTCTTTGCTCCACCAGTTTAAATGATAAAATGCCAGAAAGAATGGACTAGCTATTGACTGGAAGCCTAACCATTTGGTCTTGATTTCAGACGCTTAGCAATTTGATTCTTCTTGCTTCTGTAGCCTTATCTTCCACTGCTTTGCTCACTGACAATTTACTACTCATTGCCTGCCTAACTGGGAAATGGGCATCAGACCCATTTCCACACTGACGTTTCCTTTCTATTTTGCTCATTGCCAAAATGTACTCAAGTTTCTAATTGCTTTAAGGAAAGAACTGGGGGCATTTAGTTTACTTGGTGATTTGGGATATTGGTAGACATTTAAACCAAATATCCTCCCATCATGCCATACATTAACAATAGTAAGATACAACTTCCTCTATTCAGAAATATTACATTAAATATATAAATGTAGTATACCAATTTTTTTTTATTTTAATGTCACAAAAAATATTTATATAGTCTTTCTTGGATCCACTTCCTAACATCTGAAGTCCCTTAACTCAGAAATATCCTCCCATTGGGGCCATAAAAAATAACCCATGGAGTTTCTATGGTATGACAGGATATAATAGTGAAAGACAGATTTTTGTTTTAATAAATGTAGTAATAATGTAAGGATGAAAATAGTATGGGAACCACTGGATTAAGAAAGCTGATTTTTAGATGAGGGTGTGGTTCAAAAAAACTTTTAATTAACATCACAAGAAGAAAAAAGTATGGTAACCTGTAGAATATAGTGGCAAATAATATACTTTCCTTAAATGGATTAAATTGGAAAAGAAGTTAAAGAATGACTGAGAACAATATTTGATCAGAAAATGTACAAAATGCTTTATTTTTTGAACCACCCAACCAAAAAATAAACTCAATTAGAAAATATGGCACTGCAGAAATGACGTGTTATAATTAAATTTTATATTAATACTACTACCAACTAATATTCAATGAGTGTGACGTTTCAGGCATTGTGCTACATTTTTTACCTTAACAATTGTTGTTCTGCTTATAACCCCAGGAGGTAGGGACTATTCATTCCATTGATAAAATAAGGCATAAATTCCAATACCACATAGATAGAATGCATCCAAGCTGGCAATCAAATTCAAGTCTGTCTGACTCTGAAGCTTAGCATTCATGGATGGATCCCAATTTCAAAATACTGAAAAAAAAAACTTACTATATTGTAGCAATTTATTTCCTCTCCTAAGCTAAATTTCAGTACACTACTGTTTTGTGCATCTTATAAAAACAGACATGTGAGAAGTATTTTGAAGTACACGGTGTACCCTCAGTATATTTTTCTCCATGAAATTGAGAATTTCTTTTAACCAATAACTTAAGAATAGTGGTCTGAATAATTACATTCAGTTATACTTAAACTATTCTTTTTAATTTAAAAATTTAAAAAATATACCTTCAGAATCAAACTATAAAACACTTGTTGAAGGCCGGATGCGGTGGCTCATGCCTGTAATCCCAGCACTTTGGGAAACCAAAGCAGGTGGTTCACTTGAGCTCAGAAATTCAGACCAGCCTGGGCAACATGGTGAAACCCCATCTCTACTAAAAACACAAAAAATAGCCAGGTGTGGTGGCGTGTGCCTGTAGTCCCAGCTACTTGGGAGGCTGAGGTGGGAGGACGGCTTGAGCCTGGGAGGCAGAGGTTGCAAATCACACCAGTACACTTCAGCCTGGGCGACAGAGCCAGACTCTTTCTGGAAGAGTCAAAAAATAAAATATAATATAATAAAATAAGCAAAACAAACAGCAAAAAACACTTGCTGGTTATTTGGGAGAATATTCAACACTGTATTCTACCACATGTGACTAACATTTTACTTACTGAAATCACTGAAGCTATCCATGATCATTTTTACCCACAAAACAAATCTAGCTGTGGCTTTCTAATAATTTCTTTGTAACAAACATTCATCTAAATTTAATTATGGATCTTCTTTCTGAAACCTAGATTGTAGCTGTTTGACAAAATAGTAAACCATTTATAATAAATATATACCTCTTGCTACCCACTGTTGCTATGTGAAAAGCAAACTGCCTGTCATCAGGGTGTCTGCCCTTGTGAGTGTTTCTTGGGCAGGCCTATCTGAAACCAGTTTGTGTTTTCTCAGTAGCATCTTTATGCATATGAGGCATCCTATTTAGCAGGTGTACAGGTCTTTCCTTATATATCAGTTTAATTTGTTATAAAAGAAAATGGCCTTATGCTTTGAGATGTCTGATAAAGTTCTTAAAGTGACAATTATGTAAGCCACAAGCCAATATTTTAAAACAGAACATCCCAAACATATTTTCTAAATTTGAGGAAAATATGTCTAATCATTTTTACATAATGCAATTACACAAAGGCAGAAATTTCATTTGATTTACATTCTAGTATCCCTTGCATTTTATCTCCAAATGCCACAATTATATTAATCATTTTAAGACAGATGTGATTATAATTTAGCATCCCAGTAACTCTCAACTCCATATTTATATGTAATGGTTTTCCAAAATAACTGATAAAGTTAAAACTGGTAAAATGTGAATAATATTCATAATATAAATGAAATTTCCTCTTAAAAAATCAACTTTAAGAAATCTAATCTTAAAAACCCAGGCTAACCCTTTTCTAGAAATTTGTTTTTGAAAATCACATTGTGTAGACAACTCCATGCCATAAATAAGATCTATGATTCAAGAGAAGCAAAAAAGAACAAAATAAATAAACAAAAAACTAGCATTTCCCCATTAGAAATCTGCAAGCTTTTGCTTTTCCCAAACCTTCATTTTTTATAACCTTTTCTCCCTGTTTATTTCATTTATGTATTTTATCTTTACAAATTTATGGGATACACATGCAATTTTCTTGAATGCATAGTTTGTGTAGTGGTCAAGTCAGGGCTTTTAGGATATCCATCACCCAAATAGAATAATGTACATTATAACCATTAACTAATTTTTCATCATCCACTCCTTCCCTCCCGAAAATTTTGGAACTGGAGGGTAGACGTTATCAATAAATCTCCAGGGAGATAGAGAAGAAACCTTTTATGATTTGACTTTGTCCCCCTCACTCTGAAAACTTTTGCATGACAGAAAGAGAAATGAATTGTGTCTAGGGAATGGAAACATGATACTGAGCACCTATAATGATGCTTCTATGCCAAATTAAGAATTTTGGACAAATGTTGGGAAGGGGACACCTTTGAGGAACTCCAGGTAGGGAATTTTGGAAGTGTTTTTTGGTTTGTTTCTTGGCTTTTGGGGGGTGGGTTTAGAGATGAAGATCCAGTCTCTGTCATATATTAGCAAATCAGTATGGCAACTAATTGTGTTGATTGGCTGGGGATATTCGGGCTGTTTCGTTAGGTACTGTGTGGGCAATGATCTGAATTTCCTTTATTTGTTTTTCTTTTTTTCCAGGAGAAGGTTTTAATGAATAGATGAGGCAGCAGTTATTTAAATTCTTGTTTTATCAGGATTCAGATTTGAACCTCTGTCATCAGGTGGGATGCCAAGGCCAAGTTATGTCACTTCATGGGTTTAAGATCAACCAACTCATTCGAGTTGCTAGTTTTATGCTCCTGATAAAGACTATGAAATACCATTTTTGAAGGGCTCAAATATAGCCTTTTGCACCAGGAACTCTTAGTTTATTTTTGCAGTTCGAGTGGAATTACGTGGAAGTTTAATATGATTTATATAAATACAGACAAATCTAAATCTCAATAAACGATCACAGATGAATTAAAGTACTTTCTTCTATTCAAAAGATTTTTATAGATTTCCAGTATGGTCACATTTGTGCTCAAGATTGTGTATTATTCAGCTATTATTGCATAGCAAAGACCGTAAAATTTTAATAGCATATAACAATAAGTATGCATTTTTTATACCTGTGTATAAAGGTTGTGTATATATATATATATATATATATATATATATATATATATATATATATATACACACACACATATACATATACATATACATATATGTCTGTATGTGTATATATGGTCGGTCTGATCTAGGTTGAGCATGGCTGGACTTACTTCAAACTGATGGTTGGGTCCACATGTCTCTCATTATTCTTGAAATAGATGGCTACTCAGGCCATATTCTTCTTATGGCAATGGCAGAAACAGAGTGGGACACAAGAATATTCCATGTCTTTTCTTAATTTATACTGCATTACATTGGCCAAAGTGATTTACATGGCCCGGTCCATAGTTAAGGGGTGAGGATGTATACTGCGCACCATGAGGCCATGCCAAGTTATGGATGTGTAACATTATTACAGGGGAATGAATAATTGAGTACAGTACTTGAAGCTACCACACTTTCAAGAGAAAATAATTGTTTAATGAAATGCACATCACTTTCTTAGAAACAATAAAGATATTCAGCTTTCATCTATATATAATTTATTTGTAATCAGTTACTTCCTATCATTCATTTCCTATACATTCTCACAGACCGCTCCTTCTCCTAGAATGTCTTGGTCTTTCTTCTTAGCCTGATACATCTTTACTCATCCTTTAAGCTCAGCATACGTATCACTTTCTATAAGAGGTACAAGTCCTCTAGCCCAGCGCTTTCCATGTTGCATTGTCATGATCTATTTGTCAGTCTCCGCAGAAGACTGAGAGCTCCTTTGAATATTTTGTTCCTAGCACTGCATCTAGCATGTAGCAAGCACTCATTATATATTTACTGAAGAAAGAAAATACATAAAAGCAAAAGAAGTAAGATAAAAAAGACATAGCTCCTGCCTTCAAAATTCATGCTCTGTGCTCTAAAAATACATTGTGTCAATGGTTTTATACAGTGAATTTGAATTATAAAATCAAATCGATTTTCTTGCTGAAATAAACTTATATAATTAAGATTATCCATGAAAAAATTTAGAACCCCACCATCTCTTAAGAAAAAGGTGAAATGTATTTATTTTCTAAAACTAATTAAATTTTTATTTTATATAAAATTACAATATGTATAGGAGATTAATAATAGTAGTCATTACCTATATGAGCTTGGGCTTTGTTGTTCATCATATGTAAACTACTGACTGTTGTATTAGGAGAAAAATACAGCATTTAATTATGTGAATGGTTGTTAAAGATTACTTGATAATATCAGGCATCATTCTTTTAAATTATAAAGTGTGAATCACTGAAGCAATTGGATTACAGCATTCATTTCTTATTAAAGAAGCATGAAAACAAACCTTAGAATGACTCTGTCAAGTAAGTTTTCTTTAATTCAGTTAAAAAATAAACCCTAAAATTAAATCTAACAATAAGTATAGGCTTCCCAGCTAGAAATATTTTTTAAAATAGTTTTCCAAGCCTGAATTACTTTAATATTTGGATTCAGAGATTTATTAAAATGTTATTTAATTTGAAAACACATGTATATTCCTAAAAATTTTTAGTATTTTAGGAATCATAGACTCATGTTCTGAGGTATAGCTTCTCATTAAGCATATGAAAAGTATTTATTACTCTAATTATTATAGTAATTGGATAAGTTTAAAAAATTATCTACTTCATTTAATGACTTTGTCAAGAGGTGCACTTTGTAATTCAATAATTATTCTATGAAGATGATTTCAATTATTTTGAAATGGTAAACTAAAAAATTCTATACAAATGTAATATGAGAAATAACTCACAACATGAGTAAGAGTGCTTTATTTCAGAATAGAATTTTTCTCATTGCATACCAATTTTGTTTTTGAATCAGTTTAATCTGGAAATTTATATGGTATGAAATACATCTTCCAAATAATAACTGGTGTGAATATTTGATACAATTAAATGTATAAATATAAACTGTTTCACCTTAACACTCTTCATATAATTTCTGGTGAATACATTAGGTTGAACCACATGAATTGACAATATCTACTGAAATTTTTACCTACAAATGATAATTTCACATGGTTCAACTTAATTAAAAATGTTTTCTTAAAAAATTCTAAATCTACATGTATCCGTACAGTAATGTTAGTGTTTCATTTTTAATTGTTACCAATATTAGGATTTTTAAGTTGGTACAAATTTTACAAGCTTTTAAAAATATATGCATGCACTGGGCACAATGGCTCACTCCTGTAATACTAGCACTTTGGGAAGCCAAGGTGAGCAGTTTGCTTCAGCCTAGGAGTTTGAAACTAGCCTGGGCAACATGGCAAAACTCTGTCTCTACAAAAAATACAAAAATTTGCAGGGCATGGTGGCGCATGTCTGTAGTCCCCGCTACTCAAGAGGCTGAAATGGGAGGATCACCTGAGCCTGGGAAGATGGAGGCTGCAATGAGTCATAATCGTGACACTATACTCCAGCCTGGGCGAGAGAGTGAGACCTTGTCCTAAAAAAACAAACAAACAAACAACAACAACAAAAAAAAACAGACAATCAAAGAAAACAAAAAAGAGGGAAGAGTGCAAACATGCTACTCAGAATCTAATACTTAGAGAAATGCTAATTTATAAAATAAGATACCACTTTTTTGGCCTCTCATCTCAACAAAAATGGCCAATAACCATTATTATTCACAATGTAGGAAAAGTAATATTCCTATTTTTTGTAAGAGTATAAATTTGTATAAATATTTTGAAGAGTAATTGGACAACAGTTATCAAAATTTAGTATGTACATACCTTATTACCTAGTAATATATTTTTAGGACTTTATTTCACAAATATGCTACTAAGGTGAAGTGCAATTTGACCCTTTTTTGAAAAATAAAATGTGTGTTTGTGTATATGCATATGAAAATTGGAAAGACATAAAAATTGTTAAAAAATAACTGTCTATGGGATTGGATAGTGAGAGGATTCTCTTTTTTAAATCATATGTTCCAACCACAATAGGAAGATGAAGAAGTATTGGGATTACGTATATTTTACATTATTTTCTGTATGTTTTAAAAAATTGTCTATATTTAAAATGTATTGCTTTAGAATATATTTTTTAAAAGTTATCCATCTCTCACCTCCAGATGGAAAAAAGAGAAAACAAAAGTATATACATTTTTTGCTTACGTAATAATAGCAATAGTGTGAAATGAGCTTTCATTGTCAAATGTGGTGAAACTATGCTTATTTTTTTTCTTCCAATTGTATTCAGTTTAACTTATTCAGGCAAATATAGTCACTAATTACATATATCTGTTTTTCTGCTGACTATATCCTTGGCTAATATCAAATCAAGACATATAGACACACAGGCACAGAGTCTTTCTCATTCTCTCTCTTTCTCGTTCATACACACACACACACATAGTTCCCTGATACCTCATGTAATCAGTACCAAGCACTCCTGTAAGGCAGTTTGAAAAGTGTAAACAATGCTAGCCTTTAAATTGAACTTTTATTTAGTTTCTATAATCCAATAATGAAAGAGGGAGAGGGAGAGAGAGAGAGAACAGAGGAAAAAGGAAAATGTAGTGCAAAGTGGAAAAATTTGCTATTAAATTAATCAAACCGCATCTTCTGAAAAATATTCCATATCCCCCAAACATATTAGCTTATTTAAGTGAATCTCTTATGAAACAGTCTTTTTCATGATTAGGGGTCATATTTAATCACTGAATATAACATTTTATTTGCTTAATAAGCAATTTGAATGAAATTAACACATGTTCATTGGAGAAATTTGTAAAATACTTTTGAAAATTAAAATATCCATAATTTTGTCAAGAGAGTGCTAGAAAAGCAAAGATCAAACAATCTGCTAAAGGAAACAAAGCTAAATTTATTTATGATTCTAAATAAAAAATTAAAACAAAGTAACTATGGAATCTGAAGTGATGAACTGAGTAATCTTGAGGTGGGTCTTGCAAGCAAGGGAATTAGGTGGGATCAGGCAGATTTTACGACCTAATAATTCTATATTGGTGGGTAGAAAAAAGTGAAGATCTTAAACTCTGCTTTTATGAGTAAGCAGTTAGTCGTGGTAAGTAAACTTTTTAGTTGGTTCAAGGAGCAGGTGCAGTAGTTTAGATCTTTTTGCTGGTTTTCAATATTGCCCAGCAAATACTCACACACATGTACATGAGGAATATGTGCTTTGTCATAGAATTGTTTAGCACAGGGATAGGAAATTATTTTGAGCTTATTTTAATCCCATAATCCAAAAAGAATCCCAATAACAATTTAAAAAATGTTTCATTTCCCATAATTTCCTTCACATAAATATCTTTGTATATTTTATACAATTGTCAGTATATTTTATATTTTATAATGTAGTTTATAATATTATATAATTATATATAAATATGTATATTAAGCAAGTTATTTTCTTTATTAAATATTCTTAAAAGTATGCTATTTTGGTGCATAGAGTTACGGTGTTGTTAGAAATGTCCAATGATTTATTTTACCAGGTCTCTTTTATTAGATACTTTGTTTTCAACATTTGGCTATTATAAAAAATGCTGTAATGAACATCTGTGCACATAAATCTTTGACCTTATCGCTTATTATCTCTTTAGTTCACATTTTTAGAAATAAAATTAACTGCCAAAGGGTGTCCATCTCTATTTAATATAAAACTGAGTGAAATTATGTATGACTTCACTATGATCACAGTTTCAACTTTCTTGTAATTTCTGAGGATATTATATGACAGATACTATTCTACAATGTGAATAATTTACACATTTTATCTCTTGCGGTTTTTCATCACAAATAAAAACCGTGGAGTAATTTTCTTTAGAACCTGATTACTCAGCCTTACCTATGCCTTTTATTAAACAAATGTCAAAGGTTTCATATTAGGCACTTCATCCTTCCTCATTAATTTTTTTGTTGGTTTTGTTTTGGCTTTTTTACTTTGTAAATTGCTCTGACCCATTATGAATCTAAAAAGCCCTGGTATTCTTCACTAATATCAAGGTCTTAACCTGTGTTCCAGCCCAATGACAATTTGAGTAATTGCATATTTCCTGGTTTCTTCCAATCAGATTCATTTGGAAAAGTTATTACCTTCTTTCTTGGAAATGACAGTGTAATGTTACTTTTATAGATGAGTTTTTATAAGCAGACTGCATTTTAACAGTAAAAGTTTATCATAATCTCAGCTCAGCTCAGGAAACTTACAAAATAAGTCTGTTCCCTAAAACTGTACACCTCTAAAGTTACTTTATGCATAGTTCTGAATAACAACACATAGGCGTGCACCACATAATATATCATTGTTAGAGACATTCTAATGCATTAACTAAGTACTATATTTTAGTGAAATTGAATTCATACATTTGTTGGGAATAATTTTTTAAGTGCATCCTAAATCAGTGTTGGCCAACAATTTGAGTAGTTTTCTATTTACAAATACGGACAAAATAATGGTCTCATATGTTGTTACAAAATAAAATATTGCATTAGATATATTGGCAAAGAAAACCTTAGTCAGCTACTTTCATGATCTAAAATACTATTGTGTTTTAGACTTTGGCCTATTTCCATGACTAATGAAAGAAATATTGGGGAAGAAAAATTACTGAAGACTTTTACCACTTCTAGCTTTTAAATAAGGTTTCAGTGGTGATTATTTCTACACTTAGTGTCATTTCAAACAAATCATTTGCTTAACAACATTGTATTCTAATAAGAGACAGAGAATAGGTTTTCTTCCAGCTGGGGTTCTAATGTTGCTTTATTTTATCATGCAAAATATGTATGAGAACAATTTGTTGTTATACATTTGACATGTAATTGTGAGATATTTATGTAGTATCTCACATATTCCTATTTGGTTTTTGAAAAAGAGTTTCACATATTTTATGTGAATGTAATATTCCCCTTATTCTTAAAGATAGATACCACATATCTAATTAAGTAAAACTCTATTACAGAGTAAATTCAGATAGGCTAATTTTATTTAAACGGAAAACTCCCAAGTTTTCTGATTTTCTTTTTTAAACTAGAATGCTGATTATAGGAGAATAATTTTCAATTACAAGTTTTACTGAAACCAAATTGAAGTTTATAAAGAATATGCCATTCCTAGGAAGTAAAATGTTCATAGATTATATTTATAAATATTATATATCATGATGCCTGAAAAAAATCTATACAAAATTTTCCAATAAATTTTAAAAATATATTTAACCCAAGATACATATAAAAATAGTGAAGATAAATTAGAGATACAATAGGCTGAAAGTGTTAATAGTAAGATTTCCAAACTGAAAATTCTAGTGTTTTAATCATCGCTTTATCACTTAGTTACTTGGCAAGTTCTTTATCTCTCTATGCCTCAGTTTTCTCATCTGCAAAATCGTCGTAAGAAAACGAGTAGCTATCTTGTAATTTATATAAAATAGAATAGTGGTTGGCATCTAATAATCTTCAAAATATTAATATGACATTAGTACTACCTTACTTTGAAAAGTTATATATCTACTTATTAGTTAATATTTGTAGAAAACCCAATATTAGCAGAGCAGCATTTAATAGACATTAGCAATTTGAAAAGACAAATTGAAAAAGCAAAACTTGAGTATTTAAAATAGAAAGTAAAGTAGTAGGAGAAAAGTATTGGCATAGCAAGAAACTAAATGAAGTTATTAGAATAATTGGTAGTAAAAGCAAAAATCAATATTATGTAATAGATTTAATAAATATGAAAGAATAAAGAAACAAATTTAAAAAGTGAAATTGCTAAGCACACAAGCATGGAAAGAAAAAACGTATAGTATTAGTGTTTCAAAAAGAATTATTTGTATAGGCAAGTAACATGTTTGGAAGACCTATGTATAGAGACTAGCCTCAACAAAACTCCACCAAATAAATTGGAGACCTTGTAAGGTATGCGTTTCAACATTTTGTTTTTGACACACAAAAAACAGGCTTTGGGGTGGCTCTTATAGGAAAGGCCCTGGTTTGTCGTAATTTATTTACTCCTAAATGACTTGTGAATAGGAGAATAATTTTCAAGTTATTTCTTTGGGTCTAGAGTTTCAGACTTTGGTTAGTAAATAAAATAACTTTAATGGATGCATGGCCACATGTATACTGGTAACAAGTGAAAAGCTGTTGAAGTACATTTATCTCACCTAATCCTCACAAAAATCCAGTGAAGGCACCACTATGCTTACTTTATTGTCAGGGAAATAAAGTAAGGCTCAATTATTAATTAGGAATTGCAAAATTCCATGAGATGATTATTATAATGCTAATTGAAATTCTTGTGAAATAATGTTTTATAAAGATGCAGTATAAATGATTATCTATTATTTATGTTGGTTTGGGTGCTAGTGAATTGACTCAGGCATATAACCCCCTGTAAAATCAAAGACATTTTATATCCAGAGCAAGATTATGGATTGTACTGACCAAAATGAAAAACGTGTTTTCCATTTAGGGGTGCTTTTCAGAAGATGTCTTTATAAGAAATAAAATACAAATCTGTGTAAAAGTAAAATATTAGAAGGATTTCCTCATTGGGTGCTCACCAGAGTGCTCTTCTAATTTTTTCTCTACTTGTTTGGAAGAATTTGTCCTTTTATTTCAACAAGATTTTCAATCCGTTAGATTTGAAAGATGCTTAAGTGAATGCAATTTAAAGCAGAAATTGCTAAAGAAGTTAATCAAAGCTTTCACAGTACACCTTACTTGGGACTTAAAAAAAAAAAAAAACAGCAGAGGCAGACAACAGCAGCCTGAACCAATAAGAATAATTCTTTAATGGCAATTCAACTTAACAAGCTCTTTACCTGGATGGTTTCACATAGTCCTCAAAATAACTAAGTTAAAGAAAAATCACTTACTTTTTTAATCTGTCCTTGGGATGAGGTTATTTATGGATTTTAAAACTAAATCACCTTGTGTTCTTGGGATAAATCTAACTTTTACATGATATATTTTCTTTTTAAAATTATTGTTATTCATTGTTTAGGAATTTTTGCATCTGTGCTTATGCACAGTAGCATTCAGTAATTTACCTTTCATGCACTGCTCCTCAGGTTTTGACATCCAATTTATGTAGCTTCAATGAAATGAACCCTTGAATGGTTTACCCCTTTTCTATATTCTGGAATAGTTTGTGTAAACATTGGCATTTATTATTTGAATGTATAACATAACACATCAGTGAAGTCATTATGGTCTAGAATTTTCTCAGTAGAAAAGATAGGTTATGATTTGCAACATCTCTTTAACAGCTATAGGGTCACTTGAATTTTTAGTTCTTCTTTAGCCAATTTTGTCATGTTATATTATTCTGGAAATTTGTTCATTTAATCTAAATTTTCATATTTATTGGAATGACGTTCCTTATAATATATTCATTATTTTAATGTCCATAGTTTGATCTCCTTAGCAAATTTTATTAATCTGTGAGTTTTCCCTTTTTTTATTATTTAAATCAGAGGTTTGCGAAATTTATTGCCATTATTTAAATGATCAACTTCCGGCTCTGTTTTTTTCCCCTGCCTCACTCCGGAATGTTTCTATTTCATCGTTTTCATTATTCTTTTTTTCTTCTACTGTTTTCTTTGGGACCGATTTTCTTTTCTTCATCTTTCTTTCAAAAAAATATTTGCTTGGCTCCTTAAATTTTAGCCTATGTTCTTTACTAATATGTGCTAAGTTTATGTCCAAGTATTGCTTTAACTACATTCTCAAGTTTTAACGTGTAAGATTTTTATTATCATTGAATTATAAATATTTTTTCATAGCCATTTGAATTTCTCCCTCAAAGCATTAGTTATATACAAGCTGTTTCTTATTTCTTCAGAGATTAAATTAATTGAGATCAAAAATTATATTTTAAAGTTTTTTGAAATAGGATGTATTTGTTTTAGAGTCTTTTCATGATAAATTATCCTAAATGAACGCATGCGCTTGAAAAGAATGTGATTCTGCAGTTGCTGGATGCAGATCAAAAATAAAAATGAAAATCATTACAACTTATAGGTGTACTGAAATTTTTATCATTATGAAGTTACCCTCTGTCTCTAGCAGGGCTTTTTTTGGCCTTACTCTCATACTGCTCAGATATTAACATAACTAGTTGTGTTTTCTTTTTAAAAATTTCCTGATATATACATATTTGATATAAATATTTCCTATTACTTTATAATATTTGCCTTTTAATTTAGTCCATTTATAACTATTATAATTGTTGATATATTTGAATTTAATTCCTACCATCTTATCTTGTTTTTTTGATTTGTCCTTCATGGTCTGTGTGTTTCTTTCCTTTTTCTTAAATCTGCCAAATATTTTTTTCTTCTCTTTTAATGTTTTGCTTCCTGCTAGTTTAGAAATTACACTCTGTTTCTATTCCTTGTCTCTCTAGCTTACTGAAATCTTAATTTGGCAATTAAATTTTAATTAGTATACTTAATTCATCAAAGTCTGAAGTCTAAAGTTGAAATCTGTACCTACTTCGTAAAAAATAAGACTTTACAACATTAGAACATTGTAATTCCATCCACCGCTCCTAACCTTTGATGCATATGCTGCTGGTTTTTATATTAACTTATATTCATATTTATTTCTATATTAGTTTCTATATTAAATATTTCTATATTTAATCACATATTAGTTTTCCTACATAATCAAATTTATTTATCTTTTTAAAGCATATGTCAATCCTCTTATTTATTCTTGAAATTCATAATTTCCACTTGATATCACTTTTCTTTTACATCATTTCAAAATTTTCTTTATGAGCATCTGTTGGTAGATATACCAATTAGTTTTTCTTTACTAATTTGGCTCTTATTTTGAAAACACTGAGTTTGAAATTGTATGTGGTATACATAGAGTATATCGTTGTAGAGTGATAGTTTTTTTTTACTTTTGGCACTCTGAAAATATCATTCCTCTCACCTTACTTTCATTGTTGCTGCTGAAAAGTCACAATGACAACTGCGAATTAGAAAACACACCAAAAAAACTTTCAAGCCCCTCTTCTTCAAATCTGTAAGTTAGCTAGGAGTTGTAAAAATATACATTAATTTAATATAGTATATTTTGAATGAAGAAATATAGCATGTTCCTGAATAGAAAGACTCGGTATCAGAGAGATGTCAGCCTTTCCCAAATTAATTTGTGAATACAATGCAACTTTAATTAAAATTCTAAAAGGTTTGTGGCTTGTGTGTACCTGTGTGTATCCATACCAAAATTCAGAGACAAGTATGAAGAGCCAAGAGGGGCCAAGAAAACAGTTAAGAAGATTAAGACCAGTAATGCAGGGTTTCCTCCACTCAATATCAAGATATTACAAAGCTTCGATGATTAATATCTTTAATTTTACTTAGAGATAAACACAAAAGAAGAGAATGCTCAGAAACAGATTCATGCCTACAAGGGAACTTGCTGTACAACAGTGTGTAGATATTAGAAACCAGTGGTGAAGCAATGTGCTATTTAGCAAATATGTTGGGACAGTAAACTTATTGCTGAAAAAAAGGAAAATCTGAAACCCACTTCACAATATTTATAAATAGATTTCAGATAAAAATCTAAATCCAAAAAGTAAAATGTACAAAACGAACAAGTAAATGTAGGAATATATATGTCATTGTGTAGGGTCAGTTTTTATCTGTTGATACACAATATGTGTACATGTTTATAGGGTATATGTGATATAAATAAGACACAAATATCTCAATTATTAAGGAATACTATGTTTATGGATGCCTGTAGATGCAGTAAAAGAATAAAAATATAAACAGGAACTTATCAACTTAGGTAAACTAGTTACTTCTAAGGAGGGAAATCAGGATAAGGAGAAGTGAAAAAGAAGTTTCAACAAAACTGTAATGCTTTATTTTTTCAAAATAAATCAACTAAATACTGAAAATTTTTAATATTAAGTAAATGTATTTGGGGAGTCTATGGGGGTATGTTATATTATTCTGCATATCTTTCAATATGTTAATAATATTTCATAATTTAAAAAAGTTAATTCAGAAATATAAACCTGCTTTGCAAATTGCACCAGATGCCACAAACCAAATCAAACACTTATTTTTGTAATGGTTATGTGCAGACAGTATTTTTGTTCCTAGTGCACACACACTGATTTCTCCAGATGCTACCTCATAAAAAAAGATGATAATCGTCAACAAATGTAGTGTTATCTTTGAATTAGAGGGGTGTTAATGCCATATATTATGATAAGAACAGTTCAGATGGCAATGGGCTATGGCAATTTACCTACATGATGACAATTTCGGTACTGTGTTATGATTCAAATTCAGCATGCTACCAAGATAGGAACAAACATTTAGTATTTATTTGCTCAAAAAGGTGTTAAATATATAGAATGCTAAAACAAGATTATAAAACAATAATAATTAAGGTCTAGAGAGTTTTGGTATTACTAAGACAAACTGAAATCTTTATAGTACAACATTAATAAAAGCTCAATTTACTGAGCCCTCATTATGATAGACAGTCAAGAATTCTACATACATGATCTCATTTGATTTTCACAACAATCCTGGGAAGTACAATATTACCCATTCCACCGATGGGGAAGCCAAGATTAAGTGTTCTAATACGTGTAAGACATCACCATAGGTGGCAGAATCCAGCAAATGCAGCCCAGCCTAGCTCCAAATCATTGGCCATGAGGAACAACTTTATTATTATCAAATAACTAGTTTTTGTTTTCTATGGCATGTTAGCCAGCTGTATTTTAAGCTACTGAAGCATTTGTACGTTTTAGTGGTGGACAATTTTTACCTAGTGCAAAATTTTAAAAGTAATAGGTTTTTGCCTGACTGGATGAGAATTAACTAATAGATCAAACATTTTCTTAGTTAATATTTTTTTCTCTAAAAATATTTGAAATTTCATCAAATGCCATAAAAAACAACATGGAATCAGAGTAGTGGAAGCTCTGCAAATTAGGAGACCATTGACAATTTGAAATATGGGCAAGATTACACCATACAGTACCAACCAAAGTGGTTCTTAACAAATTTTAGAAAGTTATAGGCACAAATACATGTTGCTGTGTTTTTTTAACATAGTATATCCCTCAATAATGCTTAGTCAGTGAATTTTGGTAAATCTGACAAATTCTGCTAGAAATTGAGAAAAATATATTCAGGCCGGGCGCAGTGGCTAACTCCTGTAATCTCAGCACTTTGGAACGCCAAGGCAGGAGGATCACTTGAGGTCAGGGGTTTGAGACCAACCTGGCCAACATGGTGAAACCCTGTCTCTACTAAAAATACAAAAATTAGCTGGGCATGGTGGTGGATACCTGTAATCCTAGCTACTTGGGAGGCTGAGGCAAGAGAATCACTTGAACCCGGGAGGTGGAGGTTGCAGTGAGCCGAGATCGTGCCACTGCACTCCAGCCTGGCGACTGGCAACAGAGCGAGACTCCGTCTCAAAAAAAAAAAAAAAAAAAAAAAAAAGAAAAACATATTTTAGTTTTTCTACACTACTTTCTAATTATACACATAGGTCTCAACTATATAACAGCAATGTTGAATTCAAAGTACTGAAAGTCACACTATTAAGAAATGTTGACTTAAAGAGAATGAATTATTGTGTATGGCTTACAATTCAGCAAAAACCCAACACAAAAAGCACTAAAAGGGAGGCATGTCAACTTATACACAAGATTAAATCTCCTGCTGTAAAACATTTCTCAGCCAATAACTTGATGGGAACTCTATACACTAAGAGCTGTGTTTGTCATACACAAGTGCTTGCACATCTTAAAAAAAAAAACTGCTTTAGTTGAGGAAGGCATATTGAAGCCACTGATATAAATTATATTTAAAAAAATCAATGCTCACTAATGTAAGAAGAAAAGGATGGTTTTCATGCCACTTTTGTTCTAGTTTTATTTCTCTTCCTTTAATTTCATGGCAGGTTTTACTTGCCACAATTTTCTTATGTGAGTATGCCTGCTCCAGATCAATGCAACTTATAATTTGTTCTTCCCCTGAAAATCATTTTTACATTTTGCCTCTTTCTTCTTGTTGCAGAGTATATATTTGAGCAACAGATAATATGCTATATTCATTGGCTTGTTTACTTTGTCTGCTCCAGTTCAATAATCTTAATTTTCAGTACACTTGATTACTTTTTTTGCTGAAATAATAAGAGTTATATTTTTACTATCTTAGGATTCTCCAAAGTTAGGGTGTTTTAAAAAAAAGTGAAGAAAAAAAGAACAAAGAACAAGTGATAAAGTCCAGTAGTTAAGATCATGAGGATGGAATAAAACAGAATGGGTGTGAGTCTCAGTTTTGTCACTTTTAACTGAGTAATCTGACCCCAATCAATTGTGTTTCCTCATTTGTAAAATGAAAATATGATTCAATCATGCTCTAAGATTAAATAGGATTTAAATTCCATTTTCTAGATAATAGAAAATAACTAGTCTTTTGTAGTTTCACTTATTGATTGAAATCATCATGATTTGGCTTCATTATTATTTTTATGTAAATGTAAGAAAAATAAATAAGCTTGAAACATGTTATTTAACTCTTTTCTTTCAATGTAAATAATTGGGAGTTGGCTTTCTTGGCAGATCCTGAAGATTATATAATAATGAATGATTATGTAATTAGCATATAATTATAAAAATATGTAATAATTTTAATAAGTGCCCTATAGCATTCAACATATATCTTTCAGTGATGTACTTATTCAAAAATATTAACAGAATATTCATTATCTGCCAAGCATGATTCACATTATGAGAATTTGGTATTAATTTCAGAAGGCATATTCTTACATTTACAAACCTCGCTTTTGAGTCTATTTTTCTTAAAGGGTACATTAAAAACTATTAGTAAATGATTTTATACAAATAAATAAAATATCATGTAATTGGAAAAGTAATATAGTGCATAATGACAAAAGAATCTACACAAATGCTTAAAAAATTTGAAAAAAGTATTTAATACCTAGCATGGGTATAATTTTGGTTATGTACAAAACACCCTTTACACTTAAAATGTATGACTATTTCTGAAAGGGGCTATATACTTGATTCTGACAGACATTTAAAAGATGCAATTTTACCCCACATGTTGTATGCCACAGCAATGGTTCATAGGAAAAGATGGTTGCATTTGAAAATATATCATGTAGTATGAAGACTGCCCAGTAACTAATGAGAGTTATTTATAACTCTGTAAAATCCTGATAGTGCACTTGAATTTCCAAGTTATCTGTATTTTATGTTTCCATTTAAAATATACAGAACAAATATCACTTCAATTTTCTAAATAATATAAGTGATAATACAGAATAAAACGAAGTAGTCTGGTCTTTATAGAAATAAGCTTCTGGTTTAATACAGCATTTTCAGATGTATTCTTAAGAAAAAAATAAAAAAATACTAAATACCCCTGAGGAACCTAGCTGAACATATATTTTTGACCACAAAAAGGAGGAAAGCGGAGGTTCTGTTTCACATAGCAGTTAGGGGCAGTAAAAAAGAAATTGAGTGAAGGGGAAATGCTTGTTGAAGATGATGCCAAAAACAATGCTATGATTTCCCACCTTTGCATAATGGCATTCTAATGGCATATTTGAGATGTATCTTATTTCAATTAATTTTCATCACAAGCCAGTAAGGTAGGTATTTATATCTCCATCTTTACACCAAAGATCACAGAGAGCCTTTAACTGGCAAGAGGTGAGAGAAGCATAAGTATGTCTGGCTACAAGAAAAAATGATAACTGATTGTCAAGATTCAATCATTTTCATCCCAAAAACATTTTTAAAGCACTTAGCAAGTACCAGGCCTCTGCAAAATATGTAAGTGCTTTTCCCCTTCTACTGCTGGCCTCTGAACTGTCAGAGCCTCCCTGGGAAATGTCAAATGCCAAGTTCCACTTCCACTGGTTATACCCCACATGCATTAACCCAACACACCTCATTGTAACATAATGCTCCTAAGAAAGAACAAAATAACCTGATAACTGATACTGTGTCAGTATGGTGTTTTGTGTGTGTGTGTGTGTGTGTGTGTGTGTGTGTGTGTGTATGTATATATATCGTATATAATTTATATATTATATTGAATATATTTTTTCAGATAAAATACATGAATTTGTAGAGGGGACTTCAGTCATTTTATTTTCCTTTTCTCAACTTTTATTTTAGGTTCAGGAGGTATATGTGTAGTTTTGTTAGATGGATAAGTTGCATGTCATTGGGGTTTAGTATACAAATGATTTTGTCACCCAGGTAATGAGCATAGTACCCAATAGGTAGTTTTTCAACCCTCACCCTCCTCCCACCTTCTCCTCTCAAGTCAGCCTGGATATCTATTGTTACCATCTTTGTGTCCATGTATTCTTGTTGTTTAGCACTCACTTATAACTGAGAACACGTGCTATTTGGTTTTCTGTTCTGCGTTAATTTGCAGTCTTGATTCACAGGAGAAATATCTCATGCCACAATTAGTGAAAATATCTCCATGAAGAGTGGTCATTTTGATGCACTCATATCATACTATTAGTCTATGTTTGTAGTTCATTCTGCATATGAGTAGAAACATTAAAATGCAGAATCAAAGAACCTCCTGCAAGGTGAATTATTTCACTTCCATGCTCAAAAGCCTGAAGGTCCCTTAATCTGTGTTCATACTGACAAAGCAGCAAAAAGAATATGAGACCACATTCTTTACCAATAAAAATTATTTAAAGCTATGTACACCATTAGAGAAGAGTAATTAGTCACGGTCAGTTTGGTTAAAGAATACTATGGTTAGTTGATAAGTATGAAACATAAATGTTTTGCAGTACAAATGCATTTTATGCTCTCTACTACAGTAATCTATAAAAGATGATTTTAATGACATCAGAATTATTTCTAAATGTAAATGTTTTTCTACTTGGCCACCACAATCATCATAAATGCAAATAATTATCTTTTTCTTCTTATTACACTGATATTTTGGGTAAGGAGGCATTTTAGCTTATTTATTATTTAAAAGATAAAATTGGAAACCACATTTTTTATGTTTTCCAGTGCTTTTACTCTCAAAAGTAGTCTTCCTTTTTAAAAAATGCAACATATTTTTATAGTCATACATACCTTTATTATATATAAGGCAAAAAAGCATTCAATATATTTAATACTTTAAGTAAATAGTTATATATTTATAATGGTAAGTTGTTAAAATTCACTAGAAATGAAAGGAAAATTAAAAGAACTGATGATGATGACAATGATGAAGACAGCCTTGAATTTTGTAGATATTTGATATCCATCAAAAAAGGAGCCAAAGGAACAGGTGAAAAACTAGTCTGGACTTGAAGCATCTTCCATAAGGCTTGCTATTCTTTTACTGGGCTATGAGGCATCAGTCGTGAATTACAGTACAGTAAGCTTTTAATGCTGCAGTTCTTTGTCCCCAGGTATCTGTTACAAAACATTATGCTTTTTTAAAAAACAAAAAAAGCATTAAATAGGCAGTCAGAGATGTAAGTAGGCAGAGATATAAGCTACATAAGCGCCTTTTTCTTTTCATAATTTTGAATAACTCGAGGGCTTTTCATTGCAGATTCCTACTGTTCTGACCTATAAAAATGCATTCTTATTACTAAGAATAATAGTTATTTCTTTTTGCATAGTTTTTTCTTTTTTACATAGTTCTTTTTCTTTTTTACATAGTTCATGATTTTGTTAATAATGTATATCTGAAATAAAATAATCAGGAAATATTACCATCATTATGACATCTTAATGAAACAAAGTAATGTCTTAAGAGTTTCTAATAGAAATCAAAATATTTTCAAACACATAATCACAGATCTTCCCCTTTTGGAAAATTACTTTTCAGTTGTTTTCCTTCCAACTAGAGTTCCGCAAATAAATCCTTCCCACATAAAACCAAAACCTGCCATCAAAACTACCCTGACCCTTATTCTCTCCATAGTGTTATATATATATAATGTTATATTCATTCAGGGTTAGAATGTATTGAGATAGTGCTTAGAAGACAAAAAAACAGTTGGATAGACAGTAAAGAGGAGATTGAAGGATAATCCTTAATTTATTCATCCTTCTATATCCACATTCTTCCACTGTCAAGACTATACTAATTCCACTGTGGTTCAATAAACCTATGAAAACATTAGTTTTAAGTATTATGTATAAAAGTGATGAAGTAGTAAGTTCATGTGTATGCATGTGTATGCATCAAAACACATGATATCTAAGTTATATATATGCTAGTATTCATATATACACATTATATGTTTGTATAAGTGTATATACACACATTTTTAAGTAACAAGATTTATTCTATAATATGCCTATAAGTATTATTGCTACAGCATTTTGTATACATGGTAAAATTTAATTCTGAATTGTAATACCACCACTTGGACTTGTTCTAGTGTCTAGGAGTTTCCCTAACCTTTAAGCTAAGAATCATAGTTCTTGATCCCTAATTAATCTGGGTGTAAAACTTTTTCAAAGGGAATGATTAAGAACTAAATTTTATATTTTTGTTATTCAAATCCTATATGGATAAAACTTCACATTGCTACATAGTGTATTGTTAGAATAGAAAGTCAGGTGGTCCAGTCTAAAAATATATTTGAATGGCAGTTCCTGTCATCATTAATATGAGGAGCTTTAGTGAGGTGATCATAAATGCTCCTGTCTGCATTTATGTCTTGGTTCTCCAAGTTCTTCCACACAAACTGCAAAGCAAAAATATTTCTTGTGTCTCAGAGTTATCATGTCCAAAATTAACCTGGATCTATACTGGGACATAGTTGTGTAGTACAACAGTTCATTTACTTTCTTTTATATATACTAATGGGGGGAAATCTTAACTCTGATGTCTTGTTTTTAGGATCTTCCTGACTCTGGACTTTTTTCAACTTAACAGCTGAATCTATGTCCTTCTCCAGATATGGGGTCTATTCTACTTGCAGGCAGGGGACATAGCCTTCATGTGTCCACCCTTATTTCTGACCTAAGAATTGCATTCCCATATCCTGCTATGGAAGTTTATTTTTAACTTGTTCTACCTTTGCTGGAATCTATTTGTTAGTTTCCTCTCTTTTTAGGATTGGGACAACATCTTGTTCTTGTCAGTCTCTCACACCTGGACAGCTTCCAAACACCTATGACTAAGGCCCTCCTTCCTAATGTGGACTGCTTTCATGGGTATCTAAATATTATCAGTTCCTAGATGCTGTGTTGCCATAGCCCAGTCGCCTGCCTGGCAGGACATCCTGGGTGCATATACTGGATTTCCTTTAGGCCAAATACATGCCTGCATTTGCACCTGTCTAAGGATGATAACAGGAGCAATAACAACAGTTATTATAATTTCTACCCAAATTCTAATTCATCAACATATTTTGTACATTACACTACATCAATAGTTTTCATTCTTTGCTTTAGTTTTAGGTAACATAATATATGAAAACATATATTTTCTCACATTTCCACTGATTTTTTTTTATTTAACAAATAATTCCAGAGCACTTTTATTTTGCCAGGTCATATCCTAGGAATTATAGACATTGATTTCTATCCTTAAGGAGTCTAAATACTACTTGGAGAACAGAATATAGTGAAATAAAATGGTGCTAAAAGCATACAAGAATTCCCTAATTAAGGAAAAAAGAAAAGTAGTATGAGTTAGAGCTTTCTAGAGAAGGTGCTTGCACTTAAGCTGAGCATTAATGATTAAGTAAAATTTAAGAAAATGTGCATTGGATTTGTATCTGCTTCCATATATCTCTACTTAAACTGATAATTTATAGGAATTATATTTGATAAAGAAAGAACACTGATGAATAGCTCATTTGTCTTATTCAATTTTGTTGCATTTCAGCCAAAGCAGACTGAAGGTGCCGCTGCTCCCTATCTTCTATTGATGATGGTAATTATAATGACATTGGTGATGATGATGATAGCAAACAAAAACTTCCTGAGTGTTTATATATTCCAGGAGGTTTGTTACAATGGCTTTATAGCCTTATGGTCTTTGTCCCATTTCATTCTCATAATAGGGATAATATTAAGACAGCCCTCAATATTTCTGGCCATTTCTGGACGTAAAACTTCTCTTAGTTATTCAATCAAATACTAATCTTGCTACTGCTGTGAAAGGATTTTACAGATGTAATTAAGACCTCAATTCAGTTGACCTTAAGATAGAGGATTATCTAGGTAGGTCTGAACTGATCATATGAATCCTTTAAATCTGGGTCAGAGACACTGGAGTCAGACAGATCCAGAGCATGGGAAGGATCAATGCATTATTGGTGGCTTTAAAGATGGAAAGGGTCACATGAGAAGAAAATAGGTAGACTGTAGGATTTGAGAGCGACCCCTGGCTGACAACCAGCAAGGAAATGGAAAGTCAGGGGGCCTTAGAATCAACTGAACTAAGAAAATGAATTCATGACCACATGAGCTTGAAAGGGGATGCTGAGCTCCTGCCCACAGCCTGACTAACACTTTGATTTTAGGCTTGTGAAACCCTAACAGAAAAATCAGTTAAGTCTGACTGGACTTCTGACTTACAGAAATGTGTGATAATAAGTCAATATTATTTTGATCTACTGACTGTGGTAATTTGGCATGCAACAATAGAAAACTGATGTAATGCTCTCAATCATATAAATTGGTAACATTATTTTAAATAAGGAAAGTGAATCTTAAGGGCTTTTGCTCATATTTACCATACATCAGTAGGGCTGACAATGCAAAACACAGCACTATTGTGAAGATAATGTTTTCATATTATGGCAGTTTTACTTTTGATGTTAGAACTAAGGACTCTTGCCTCCTAATCTGTACACAATAAGTTATATATTATTTTCTCCTAAATTCTAGTTTCAAACAGAGACACAGAAGCTTGAAATGGCTCCCATGTCCCTAAGTACCTAAGGCAATATTTAGAAAATGCTCCCAAGTTCATTAGGGTTAAGGTAGGGAGTTACAAATTTCTTTTCTTCAGTATTTTTCTTATAATTTTACACATTTCTCTGGGTACAGTTTGTGGCCTCAGGCCTCACAAATGCTTTGTTTTCATCTACTTGTCGGCAAATCTCTCATCTTAGCTAAGGCCTGAAAGGGTCACAGAGGAGAAACTTAAGGAGCACTACATTCATGTCTCCATCCTTCCCATCCCAGAATGAAACAGCCATGAGTAAAAGAGGTAGCACAGTTAATGGCTCTCCACATCCTAATAAAGAGCAGATAGAAAGATTTAAGGCAATTATCTTGAAAATTTATGGGGATAAAAGCAGGAAAATAAGGAAGGTTTATTGGCCTAAGCATTTTGACAACCACATGGATTTAGTTTAAATCTTGACTTTGTTTTCACAGATTCAAAATGTATTTTCTGAGTCACAGACTAAATCATGATGCCTTGCTTCCTCCTACTCCTCATAATCAATTCTTTAGTAGTTGTTTGAGTAACTGTGAACTGGGAACAAAACAATTTGTCAATTGGTTTCAGACTCAAAGACACAATTACTTTGCAGGCAGTACTGTTGCCTATGGAAACAATGATTATTAAGAAGTGTAAGAATCAAGGTGATTCCCAGCACACTGTTCAGAGAGGGACTGAATGGTTATGGGCATCCTTTGAAGAAAAGGTATTAAAAGCCTGCTGACCCTGCAGCTGTGTGTTGAAAAAATTACGTATTACTGAGAAGCACATGAACTCTTATATATTTGTATACTTTCAAGCTTCATAATAATACCAGCCAACACTAAATTGTACGTACTATATGCCAGGAATTGTTCATGGCATTTTTACACATATTATCTCATTTAATCTTCAAAATAATACTATTGGGCAGTGTATTGGTCCATTCTCACGCCCTGGAGACATTTTCCCCATTGTCTTGGTAATTAACATTTGGATCCTCATTACTTATGCCATGAAGAAATGCTCAAGACTGGGTAATTTATGAAGAAAAAGGTTTAACTCACAGTTCTGCATGACTGTGGAGGCCTCAGGAAACTTACAATCATGGCAAATGGCACTTCTTCACAGGGTGGCAGGAGAGAGAAGTGCAGAGTGAAGTGGTGAAAATCCCCTTATAAAACCATCAGATCTTGTGCGAACTCACTCACCATCACAAGAACAGCATAGGGGTATCAGGTCCATGATCTAATCACCTCCCATGAGGTCCCTACCCCAACATATGGAGATTACAATTCAAGATGAGATTTGAGTGGGTACACAGAGCCAGACCATATCATTTGTGCCCCTTGCCCCTCCCAAATCTCATCTTCCTCACATTTCCAAATACAATTATGCCTTCCCAATAGCCCCCCAAAGTCATAATTCATTTCAAGATTAACCCAAAAGTCCAAGTCCATAGTCTCATTTCAGACAAGGCAAGTCCCTGCCACCTACGAGTCTACAAAATCAAAAGCAAGTTAGTTACTTCCTAGGGAATGGGGGAAATTGGCCAAAACGAAGGGACTACCGGCCCCTTGCAAGTCTGAAATCCAACAAGGCAGTAATTAAATCTTAAAGCTCCAAAATAATCTCTTTTGACTTCATGTCTCACATCCAGATCACGATGATGCAAGAGGTAGGTTCCCATGGCCTTGGACAGCCCCATCCCTGTGGCTTTGCAGGGTACAACCCCCCTCCCAGCTGTGTTCATGGGCTGGCATTGAATGTCTGTGGATTTTCTAGGCACATGATGCAAGCTATTGGTGGATCTACCATTCTGGGGTCCTGAGGACAGTCGCCTTCTTCTCACAGCTCCACTAAGCAATGTACCAGTGGGGGCCCCAACCCCACCTCTCCCTTCTGCACTGCCTTAGCAGAGGTTCTACATCAGGGCTCTTCCCCGGCAGCAAACTTCTGCCTGAATATCCAAGCATTTCCATACATCCTCTGAAATGTAGGTGGAGGTTCCCAAACCTTAATTCTTGATTTCTGTAGACCTGCAGTCCCCACACATGTAAGCTTCCAAAGCTTATGGCTTGCACCCTCTGAAGCAACAGTCTGACCTGTACGTTGGCCCCTTTTAGCCATGGCTGGGATGCAGGGTACCAAGTCCTAAGACTGCACAAAGAAGCAAGACCCTGGGCCTGGCCCACTAAACCATTTGTTTCGTCTTAGGCCTCTGGGCCTGTGATGGGAAGAACTGCCACGAAGGCCTCTGACATGCCCTGGAGACATTTTCCCTATTGTCTTGGTGATTAACATTTGGCTCCTCATCCCATATACAAATTTCTGAAGCTGCCTTAAATTTCTCCTCAGAAAATGGATTTTTCTTTTCTATTGCATCATCAGGCTGCACATTTTCCAAACTTTTATGCTTTGCTCCCTTTTAAACATAAGTTCCGATTCCAAACCATCTCTTTGTGAATACATAAAACTGAATGCTTTTAACAGCACCCAGGTCACATCCTGAATGCTTTGCTGCTTAGAAATTTTTTCCTCCAGATACCCTAAATCTTCTCTCTAAAGCTCAAAGCTCCATAGATCATTAGGGCAGGGACAAAATGCCACCAATTTCTGCTAAAGCATAGCTAGAATCACGTTTATTCCAGTCCCCAAGTTCCTCATCTCCATCTGAGACCACCTCAGCCTAAATTTCATTGTTCATATCACTATCAGCATTTTTGTCAAAGCCATTCAATAAGTCACCAGGAAGTTCCAAACTTTCCCACATCTTCCTGTCTTTTTCTGAGACCTACCAATGGTTCCAACCTCTGCCTGTTACTCAGCTCCAAAGTCACTTCCACATTTCCAGATATCTTTATAGCAGCACCCTACTCTATGTGGTACCAATTTACTGTATTAGTCTGCCTTCATGCTGACATGAAGGAACACCTAAGACTGGGTAATTTATGTAGAAAGAGACTTAATTGACTCACAGTTCTGCATGATTGGGAGGCCTCAGGAAATTTATAATCATGGCAGTAGGCACCTCTTCACAGGGGAGCAGGAGAGAGAAGTGCAGAGTGAAGGGGGCTAAAGTCCCTTATAAAACCATCAGATCTCAAGAGAACTCACACACTATCATGAGAACAACATGTGGGAACAACCTCTATGATCTAATCACCTCCTATGAGGTCCCTCGCCCAAAATGCGGGGATTACAACTCAGATTACAATTAGAGATGAGATTTGGTACGGACACAGAGCCATACCATATCAGGTAGTAAACACTATATTGCTGTTTCAGAGAGAGGAACATAGAGGCAGTATGGATAAATAATTTGTACACAGTCACACAAGTAATTAGTGGTAGAGGTGGGATATGAACCCAGGAAGATAGGCTTCAGAGTCTATGGTCTATTCACTGATGCTGTGGCAAATTTTATTTTCCAAAGATATTTACAACAATATTTCATATCCAACTCATTTTTCTTACAATGTGATCATGACACATTTCCTCAAGAAGTGTGGTCTACATTCTCCTTTTTCTTAAATATGATAAGGTCTGGGACGAAGCTGGAAATGACATTGAAAGTTTCAAGTCTAGATCATAAAAGATGATACAGCCTTCACCTGATTCTCTGTTGGGGTACTCATACTTGCAGCCTGAGCTGCCATAAAAGCAGCCTGATATCCTTGGGACCACTATGGCATGAAAAAGCCCAAAGCAGCCCATAGGAAAGGGCTACGTAGTGAGGTCCTGAGAATACATAAAAATGGAGAGATGCCCAGGAAGCTACCAGTTGCTACAGAATCCCCACTATTTCAGCACCAGTCACAATTTGACTTCAACCACGTGAAGGATTTGAATCAAAATTGCTTTGCCAAGCCATTCCCAAATGCAAATGGATGATTTGAACACCCATTATATAGGAGATAAGTGGACTTCATTTAAAATGAAGCAATATAATTACTTTTTAAAAATGTGTTTTAATTATGTTATTATATTGGTATACGGGTCTGATTTCCCAAATTTCCCAAATAGAAATATTCTTATTATGATATTATCACATTTGAATTTTAAATGTTGATGTAATCTAGTTACTAGTTTTGTTTTGCCTTCTATTATTTCAAAAAAAAGGCCTAATTTCTATAGATACTGGCTAAATTTTACAAGCTGTAACTTATTTTTCAATTTTTAATTTTTATTTTGTAATTAAATAAAAATTGTATATATTAATGATGTACAACATAAAGTTTTGATACATGTATATATACATTGTGTGGTAGCTAAATTAAGCTTATATTGTACTCACTGTCTTTAATTATGTCAAATCATTTTTTTTAGGATGAAAAGTCTACATTACCTTGAAATATCCCCTTCTTGTGATGAAACATATTTTACTTTGTGAATAAGAAGCCACAGAAGACATACAGATGGCCAATAAGCATAGGAAATAATGCTCAAGATCGCTGATCATTAGCAAAATGCAAATCAAAACCACAGTGAGATACCATCTCACCTAAGTCAGAATGGCTATTACTAAAAAGTCAAAAAATCATAGAGGCAGGTGAGGTTGTGGAGAAAGGGAATGCTTATACACTGCTGGTGGGAGTACAAATTAGTTAAGCCATCGTGGAAAGCAGTGTGGAAATTCCTCAAGGAACTTAAAGAATTACCATTTGGCCCAGCAATCCCATTATTGGGTATATACCCAAAGGAATATAAATCATTATACCATAAAGACGTATGCACAGGTATGTTCATTGTAGCACTACTCACAATAGCAAAGACATGGACTCAACCTAAATGTCCATTAATGGTGGACTGGATAAGAAAATGTGGTACATATACATCATGGAATACTATGCATCCATAAAAAGAATGAGATCATGTCCTTTGCGGCAACATAGATGGAGCTGGGCGCTATTATCCTAAGCAGAACTAATTCAGAAACAGAAATCCAAATACCACATGTGTCTCACAAGTGGGAGACAAACAACAAAATCACATGGACACTAGGAGGGGAACAACAGACACTAGGGCCTCCTTGAAGGTTGAGGGTGGGAGGAGGGAGAGGATCAGAAAAAAATTTAACTATTGGATATTATACTTATTAACTGGGTGACTAAATTATCTGTACACTAAACCCTCATGGCACACAGTTTATCTATGTAACAAAGCTGCACATGTACCCCTGAACCTAAAAGTTAAAATAAAAATAATAATAATAAAGAAATCATATGGCAGTATGTAACCTGACTCTGTTACATACTCAGTGTGTTACATACGGAGATTGTAACAATCCAGCCATAAGACTCACACTGGATAACAATATTAAATCAAGTGTCATGTTACGGAGAGATCTGAAGAACAAATTAAATACTTTTTCAGTCACTTAAAGCAACTGCTTGGATGTTCACCCAGTAAGCTCCATCTTATTGCTCAATGGGCATCTTATTTGAGAAGTAATGTTTCCACTGGCAAACCTATTTACTTATTTAAGCTTTATTTAAAATGATTTTAAATATATAAAGTCAAGTAATATGTGGGGGTGTAAGCTCAACCACTACTAGTAGTTTAAATCTATGAAACTGATTAATCTTAAATATTTGAAAGTAGAATTCATTTTCAAGGGACAATCACATTCAGTACCCAGTTCCTATGTATGTCCACTAGAGATATGTAGAAATTGATACTAATCCATTAATATGAAGTTGGAGTATTCAAATGTGCCCTAAAAGAAAACATAAAACTTATATTTTATATGTTAGGTTATAAACATGAAACTATATCCAGAATTCTAGTTCTAGTTCCATTAAATACATTTATTACTAGAAGTCAGTGTAATTACAATGAAACTGAGTTTTAGCATTAGGTTTCTGAAGAAGTATTGATCAAGGGTAAATGTGATTTCTCAGTGAGATGATCAATTTTCTCCTAAATATAACTCTAAAATGGCTACTGCCAGAGTCATATCTTTGGAGTGTGTGCTCATTAAGGATAAAACATCAAAAAATAGATAAGTGAGAAATGAATGTTTTAGGTTAGATTTGGATTACAGTCTTCATTTCTGTATTTCAATGACTGCAATTGTAACTAAATGAAAAATTGAACATTTTAGGATTTGAAATGAGATAAAAGATTACAGGAATGTAAAAAATACATCTGTATTGATATTTCATGTATCTTTACTTTTTTTTAAATTAAATTCAAATTTTCTTTTTTTCTTTCTTGATTTTTACATGAATTAAAACAAAATACAAATAATTATATAAAAGGAATAAAGGGAAGAAAAAAGTAGAATGTTAAATGAAATTCAATTAAATTTGGCATAAAATGTGTTTAGAAAATTTGTTAAACGCAATATCTATTTCTTTATTTCCATGATTGAAATAAAAATTGTCTATAATAATGATTTTCTGAATATGTATTCCTTATCTATGTTTTAGCCAGTGAACTCCACTGGGAAAAAAAAAAGAAGGTAAACTGTCATGCAATGGTATCACATCTAAGCACTAGCCTCTTTTTACTATATTTGCAGAAGTCAAATTTACTAATACCAGTCTAATGTTTTGTAGTTCCTTCCTGTAGATGGCAGCAGAGCAGGCATAAAAAATCAATAGAACAAATTGTCAGACCAGTAATGTGGCTTCTGTTGTTCTGCTTCTCATTAAAGGCAATGGCAATAGAAGAAAAGCTATTACTGCAACCAGAATTCTTAATGAGTTTTGCTACGAATTAGTTTACAGCCCAAGTACATGCTTTGACATTTGGTTAGCTAGAAACTTGGGCAACTTTTCATGCAAAAGGATATTACTGCACACAAGCCTGAAATGCTTAGCTATTGTAATATCTGAGCTGTTATCAGAACAGGTCTCTACAAAATACCTTAAGAAAAAAATTGACCTTCATACTCCTGCCTTCTTCTGAGCTGATGTCAAATCAATAAAAAAAACCTAAAGCCAATGTTTTATTGATACTTGAACTAATGTGGTTTGCAAAATCTTTTTATTAAGCTTTGCAAACCAATGTCAGGTTAAACTGCTGTGCCCAGAAAATGGCAACCTCAAAAACTTATCTGACAAATGTGATGGAGCTTCTTAGACACATTCTGATCAAGACCCTACCTGACAACCTCTTCTTTTCAATAACTTCAAGGCTATGAATAAATATTGCAGTTTTTATACTGTAGCAAGGATTTAGCTGTATAAATCATGCGGGAAATTCTGGAGCACCAGTCACTGAATATTTTTAGTTTCATCATTGTGAAGATTCATAATGTAAAGACAATTTTTGTAAAGTATAAGAGAAAAATATATCGCTTTTAGCAGTATCTCAAGAAAATTGATGTTGAAAAGAATACTACAGGAGCAAGGATTGAGAAACTGGAGGTCCCACAGGGTCTTAAATAAGGTAGACTATGACAGATAAGATCCAGAATCACTGAATTGGACACTTCTAGGAGGCAAATGGCTTTGAGGTACAGCATTCTCCATCCGTACCTTGGTTTCTCAGTGTGACTGTGATACCAGCCAGTGGGTCACCAGTGAGTGTCCTGCAATGGCCTCTGTATGGTAATATTGATCACTCCAGAATACTGAGAGCGAGGTCAGGTTACTAACTAGCCCAGCAGCCTTTAGACTATGCCCTGAAGGGACATGATCAAGTGACATTGCTGAGGTCAGGCCCGAGGTTGATGTGTGGTGTTGAGAGATGACCAATTCAATAGCAGGCCAGAATGGAGTGGCAGAGCAATCATACTTACAGGGCCTTGTTGTATGTATATAAGCCTTGGGCTTCCTACACCTCTTCTCAACTGCCTAGCCAGTGTTAATTTCTCCAGAGCAGCATTTTCCAGCCATCAGGTCACAACATACTTGTATATTCTAATAAATAATAAATGCTTTGTTATTATAATGAAGCCTACAAATTTGTAAATAATGTAAAAATTTAATAAAAATGTATATTAGAATGAAAAAAAATACTAATACTGCCATACATAAGAGACTTTGGATAGATTATCAAATATGTACTGCTTATTACACATTTAAAAAGAAAATAAAGACAGCAAAAATACTGACTTCAGGTACAAAACTCTTATAGAATATTTAGAGAGGGACTGAGAATTGAATAAAATAAGCTACATCTTTAATAAATAAGAATAGAGTAAAATAATGCACTGTGATCTAAAGATCAATGAATGAGTGGGCTCTTTTGGGGGTACAAAGGAAAGGGAGATTTAGGACTAATGTGTTTTTTAAATGCATTTTTGTTCTTACTCCCTAGTCCTATTCCTCCCCATGGAAAACCATTTTATTTTATTATTATTTTTTAAGTTAGAATTTCCATTTTTATTTTAGATTCAGGGAGGTACATACTCATGTTTGTTACAGGGGTATATTGTATGATACTGAGGCTTGGGCTTCTATTTATCCTGTCACTCAAGATAGTGAACATAGTACCCAATAACAAGTGTTTCAGCCCTTTCCCCCTCCTTCCCTTTTTTGGAGTCTCCAATGTCTATTGTTTCCATCTTTATGCCCTTATATACTCAAGATTTAGCTTTCACTTATAAGTGAGGACATGTGATATTTGGTTTCCTGTTTTTGCATTAATTTGCTTAGGATAATGACCTCCAGATGCATTTATGTTGCTGCGAAAAACATGGTCCTTTTTATGACCACATAGCATTCCATGATGTATATGTACCACATTTACTTTATCCAATCCACCACTGATGGGCACCTAGGTTTATTCCATGTCTTTGCTATTGTGAATAGTGCTGCGATGAACATCCAAGTCCATGTGTCTCTCAGGTAGAATGATTTATTTTCCTTTGGGTATATATCCAGTAATAGAATTGCTGGGCCCAATGGTACTTCTATTTTAAGTTCTTTGAGAAAATTCCAAACTGCTTTCCACAGTGGCTGAACTAATTTTCATTCTTACCAACAGTATATAAGTGTTCCTTTTGCTCTGCAGCTTTGCCAACATCTGTTATTTTTGACTTTCTAATAGACAGTCTGACCGTGTGAGTGAACCAACATGTTTCTTGATATCTCAGCTTCAATATCATTTGCTCAATCTTGTTCCTCTCTTCTTGATTTTTTTTATTCCCAAGATTAAACACATTTAACATTTTTATAGTTGGCTTTTACATATTACCAAATCAGATACCTAAATGTCACAAAATTCCTTCTTTTACTCCTTTGAGACTTATAGTCAGCCCACGATAAAATCTGATGTTTCTTCATGTACAATTCGGTTTACACTTATTCCAGTTCCAGTGTGATTTAATCAAAAGTTGTCTAGTTTCTAGAAGAAAATGCCTATAGCACAGACTTTATATCTTTTCCATTAAAATTATCTTCTTTAATTATTATTGTAAAAAGTTAATGAAGTTCATATCTTTATCTTATAGCATATGGAAAAGATCTTTGTATCTTTCAGGATTCTGTATACATTTTCTTTTTATTCTATGTTGATACTAGTGGGTGCCCTGCTAATTTTAAAATTTACCTTCCTTTATAACCACAGTGACTAATTTCACTTACCTTCACCATCCTTCTCTTATCTACTTCCAACCATCGAGACAAGACAGCCTTTCAGCACTCTTTAAAATAACCCATGTGATTTTGCATTCTCCAGATAATTAAACCTTGAAATGTTCATTAATAAAAAGTGTACTATACCTCTTTAACTTCCTAGTACTGTGAAGAGTGCTTGTCACATGGTAGGTGCTCAATAAATGTGTGATAAATAATAACTCCAAAGACAATGCTTATTAAATGCCAGACCTTTCATGAGGAGCTTTAAGTGAATCATCTGTTTTAATCTTTCCAACAACCCAGGAGGAAACTAAAACTTATAAATATTAAATAAGTGAACCAAAGTCAAAGGTAAGTAAAATAATTAGTATAAATGCATCGTATATTATAATGAAAAATAAGAGCCATTAATCAGCTAGTTTATAACTTTTAATGGCTAATACCTTTGAATTTCATATTAAGGAAACTGTAACATCAGAAAGATTCATAATACATTTCACATAGTCAACTTTGGCAATAAAAGGATAAAATATAAAACAAACCACTACTCTGTAAAACAGAATAAATACATATTTAATGTGGTAACATTCCTTACAAGGAAACAAAAACAAAAAATATTGATAATAAACCATAGTCTGAGAGTTGAGATATACTCATTTATATATTTTTCTAATACCTTTGGCCTCAGTACATTTTCACATTTGTACCTTGGCCTCGGCGTATTTTCACATTTATATGTATATAGTTGTCTTTTCACATGTATGTTAAGATCATGATAATTTAAGTTACTTGAAGACACTTATTATTTTATTTTGGAAGCCTCTCAAAATCTAACATAGTTTGCAACAAATAAAAAGATTTTGCTTCTACCATTATATGTAATGTGCAAAGTAAATGTGTATATGTAAATTATATGTATTATTAAAATGTAATGGAAAAGAAAATGAAAGTAACAATTTTAAGAAAATCAAATATAAGAACATATACAGGAATTAGAATGGAAAAAGTATTCTGGTATTATGAAAATGACATACAGGAGGAAAAGAAAGATGATCCAAGATGAGAAAGTTAGAGTTGGTTCAGTTAATGAGGCATAGACTACTCTGATGGAAGACCATCTTTTTTGCTGTAATGTGACAATACTGTGTTCAGAATTATTCTTGATATTATACTACTAAAGGCCATTGGAACCCAACTATATAGTTTGTTAAACTAGGTTTAATAGCATGCTACTGCAAGGAGACCACATCACCAGGGAGACCATTGAATTGGTAGGGATCAGGCAGGATTTGCAAACCTAGGAATTTCTGGAACCACATTAATCTGTGAGGAGTTACTATTGTCTGTGGTTTTGAGATGGTGTATATAGATTTAAGTAAGCTAATATTAGAAGAGTATGCGTTTAGATAGTTTTTGCATGTCATTTGCAGGATAGATAGTCATGCATGTCATTACTTGGTATAGTTCTTCTGTTTTATAAATTATAGTACAGTCTTGCATAGTGTAGTTTCCATTTGAATTATCAGCTCCCTGCTCAGTTCTACTAGCAGAACTGCTTTTACTTTATCAATATTAATATAGTGAAATCCCATAAGAGTTAAATGAAATTAACTCATTGTCTGGAATAAACTAGATAGTGGTTAATTATAACAAAGAAAAAGTATTTTTCCTCCTTGGTGACCTTCCAGTGCATAGAAGTAGTAGTATGACACACACTAGGCACTTTGCCTCCATTATTACTCCCTGCTTTTACTTACCTCTTATTATTGTTCAGAATCCTGATGAACAACTCAGTCCCACTCCCACCTCCATGCCAGTAAAAAAAGCTTCGTCCTGGGTTAAGTCTGGTTGAACTCCAATTAGATTAATGAAATAAAGCAACATATTTATTCATTTATTTATGAAGCTGTGGCTGAAAATTTATACTAGCTGACTTTTAAGTCCACTCAAATGAGTGATTCTATGATTCTTTGAATCCTGTAGCAAACAGATATCAAGTGAATTCTTCAGGATGGAATGGTGTTTACTTATTGAATAAGCATCAGAACTTTGAGCTGCTGCTCTCTTCTATTTTAGTATTATGTTATAATTCATTATGACTGAAATTAAAATAAATGAACACACCCCAATCTAAGAACTAATTAGTTACATTAAAAACTATATGTGGCCGGGAGCGGTGGCTCGTGCCTGAAATCCCAGTTTGGGAGGCCGAGGAGGGTGGATCATGAGGTCAGGAGATCGAGACCATCCTGGCTAACATGGTGAAATCCTGTCTCTACTAAAAATACAAAAATAAGCTTGGTGTGGTGCTGCGTGCCTGTAATCCCAGCTACTTGGGATGCTGAGGCAGGTGAATCGCTTGACCAGGGAGTTGGAGGTTGCAGTCAGCCGAGATCGCACCATGGCACTCCAGCCTGGTGACAGACTGAGACTCCATCTCAAAAAACAAAAACAAACAAACAAAAAACTATATATAGTGTTAATATGGTTTCACTTTACCCAAAGTTTAGAATTGTATGGGTTTGTTTGGGTTCAAATGAGTGTGGTCAGGGGTGGGCATAAATAACACAGTGAAAATACAGTAGTCTCCCCTTATCTGCTGGGGATATGATCCAAGATCCCCAGCAGATGTCTGAACCTGTGGATAGTACTGAAAGCTATTTATACAGTTGTTCCTCAGCATCTTTTGGGGATTGGTTTAAGGACTCTGCAGGTTAACTAAACTTGAGCACAAAAGCTCAAGTTCCTTATATAAAATGGTAAAGTATTTGTATATAACCTACACACTTCCTCTTGTAAGCTTTAAAACATCTCTGGATTACTTGTAATACCTACTATAATGTAAATGCTAGGTAAATAGTAGTTATACTGCATTGTTTAGGAAATAACGACAATAGTCTGTACATGTTTAGTACAGGCACAACCACTCATTTTTTTTTTTCAAATATTTTCCACCCCAGGTTGGTTGAATCCATGGATGCAAAACCCATGGATACAGGGGGAAAACCTAACTATGTTTTTTCCTTTACAGTAGCAAGCATGTGGCATATACAGCATGTATATGCTAGACGAAGGGATGATTCATGTCCCAGGAGGAACAGAGTGGGAAGGAATCACACTACTTGGAATGGCATACAATTTAAAACTTAACAAATTTTTTATTTCTGAAATTTTCCATTTAATATTCTCAGACCATGGTTGACAGCAGGAAACTGAAACTGCAGTAAGCAAAACCACAAATAAGAAGGAACTACGATAATATTTTAGCTTTCCAAATGCCATTTTTTACCCACAAGTACAAGGTATGTACTTTATGGTTTTAGCAAAAGTAACGAGTTCTTGCCAAACTATTCACATATTTAAAATGATCTGGTGACTTTGCATTTACAAGAGGTTGGTTGGGATTATCTCTAGGATCAATGGCAATGAACAAGAGGGAAATAACAGAGCATATAATTCCATGACCTTGGAAATATGGCCTCTGTGAACACTTCTATCCCTGAAGTAATTATTGAGGAAGAAAATATTTTTGTCCTTGCTTTTAATGAAATCTGTAGAATTAATATACTCAACCAAGCAAATGATCCTGGACACTGCTTTCACTTTGAGTGGCTTCTTTATTCTTGATCAGGTTTTATATAACTTGTCTCTGGTACTTACCATAATACCATATGTTGATAATAACCTTTGCATTGAAAAGTCCTGATAAATGTATTTTTAAAATATGTGCTGCTATAATGCATATTTATATTAAAGCTGAATCAATAAACACAATATTTTATTGTGGGAAGGATTTTCAACCATGCTGCTTAGCTTAACAGAGCACTCATAAATACCAAAAGTTCCTTAGTAAGCCCAAACTCACTCTACCAAATCTAAAAGCACACTGTTTTGAGATGGAATAGTATCCCTTAGACTTCTATTTGTTAAAACAATAACTAAATTTGAGTTAAATAATTACACATAGTGCTTACAATGTATAAAATACTTCCACAAAAAAGTTGTTATTGGTTAAATTGTGTCCCCAAAAAGATATGTTTTAAATACTAACCCCGGAAAACTGTGAACATAACCTTATTTGAAAATAGGGTCTTTTTAGATATAGTCAAATTTGGAGGCAGATCAAATTTAGATATAATCAAATTTGGATCCATGGGATTAGCATGGATCCTAATTCCAAATGGCTGGTGTCCTAATATGAAGAAGGAAGATGCCCGTGTGAAGACAGAGACATACAGCGAGAATACATGTGTAGACAGAGGAAGAAACTGGAGTAATGCAGCTGCAAGCCAAGGAATGCCAAAAACTGATGGCCAACAGTAGAAGTCAGGGAGAGGCAAGGAAAGATTCTACCCTGTGTCTTAAAAGGAGCACGACCCTGCTGACATATTGGACTTCTAGCCTCCAGAACTATGAGAAAAATAAATGTCTTTTGTTTTAACTCACCCAGTTTGTGGTACTTCGTTATCACAATGCTATGAAACAAATACAAGCGTTATCTGTTTTGAAAATCCAGTTTTGCAAAGACAGACTCATTTATTCTTAAAGAATAAATCTACTAAAATGTAGAATGCCATATTACGTAATGAAACAAAATTAACTCACCATATTCATTCAAGGTGACATTTAGAACTCTCCCACATACATTTTATATTAATATTTTAGTGTGAAAAATATTCCTCTTAAATCTATGAGTGTTGTCCTAATTTAAACCATACACTTTTACAATTTATGCAGTAGCTAGAAGTTAGTCATTTCCATCTTTAGCATTTCTACTTGAGACAACTTACCTGGTGAGATTTTGCCACCGTATCAAAAAACAAGGAAAGTGGTAATGATGGCTGAAACATTAAGGAGAGGTACAGAGGTATGAGTTCTATATTTGTGGATAATATTCAGGTTTTCTAAAAAAACTTTCCACAAAGCAATCACATTTCTCTAGTTTTTCTACAAAGAATGTAAATGCTGCCCACTGAATGATGACTCAATTCCAAAATGATGATTCCATTTCTTGAGAATTACATTTGACAGTACATTACTGATGATGGTGTTCAAGTTTTTTAAAAAAGCACTTATTGTGGAAAATGGTAAGATGAAAATCACCACTTTATGATTTTCTTGTGTCCACGTAGGAGCCCAGAACTATCCCAATACATATTAACTTTCTTTATTTAGTCCTCCATTTGTCACTTATGGTGTCAAAATATCACATTAATTTCATTGCTGTACCATAGAAGAATGGCAATTATAGAAATACTAAGCACTATATAAAAATACTCACAGTGTGCTACATATCCAATGGTATATTAGACTTTTTTTCCTTTGCTATAAGAAAAATCTAAATATCTCTTTCTAAAGAAAGTAAAATGCATTAGATTTGAAAAATACAATGCTATGTTTTACACAGTCTGTTTAAATACCTTCGATTTTGGAGAGAATTTTTAGTTCATAAACTTTTCTGTTTTTATGAACCATTATGGCTTTGGATATTTATTAGTTATTAGCCATATTAGTGCCAACTTAAAGCTGTGGTTTTGTATACAATGCCCTGAAATTTCACCCTACTAACCTTTACATAGACTTACAAGTCATTGGTGCATAATAAGTATAGCTTCCACTTAATGAAGCTAGCTCTTTATATTTTTAACACTCATTTGGAAAACCAATTAACTCTGGCTCTATTGAATAAATTGAACAGGAAATAAATCAAGTGTTGAAACATTGGTGACAGGCCAGACTTTCTGTAATTAGAGTGTTGATATGCCTAAGGCTGTCCATGTGGAGTTCTGTATTTTGATCGACAACTCCCATAGATTAAAGTCATTAAATATTTTTAGCACATTGTCCACATCTCCCGTCTTAAAACCCAGAGGCTTGAATCACAGGGAAAAATCCCTAAAAGTGCCACAAATTTACTTAGGAATTTCACTTATTATTTCTTATTCAACTTGCCAAGATAATATCTACTATGATAAGTAAGATGCAACTCTACTGTTCTTCACATCAGTTCCATTCAGAAAGGATATTTTGCTGCCTTCCTTTTTAAAAAAGACCTTTCAATTGTTAAAATCAGAATATTGGGCAGAGAAAACCTCTGTAAGTAAAAAAAAAAAAAAAAAGGATAGTAGGCAATGCAGAGACAGGGGAAGAGAAAAGGATAGAAAAAAGACGTTAGGGACTCAAGAAGTTATTGAAATTTAATATAATATACTAAGATGAATAGAAGAAATAATGATTAAAAAGAGAAGTGGAAGCACCAATGCTAAAAAATTGGGAGTGTTAATTCTGCACTATCTCTGACAGACTTAAGGAAGTAGTATCCAGGAAATGAAGGATCCTGGTCTCTTCATACTGGGTCTGGGCTAGAGTGAATTCATATGGTTTAACAGTGCCTAGAAGAAATGCACTTCAAGATCATGTTGTTGTTCCACGTTCACCACACATTTTTGACACTGGACAATGGAATGACAAAAAGGTCATTGAAAATGTGTGCCTCTTTTTGTAAATGGTGAAATTAATATTTCATTATACTCATCCATTTCCTGTAGGTTTGGTTACTGTAAGCCATTTTCCCAGAATCTGCTAAGTCCTGAAGGATAGTAAAACTGGATTTCCAGATCCCCAAAGTGAACAAAATAAGCATAAAAATTATACCAACCAGTTTTATCTCCCCCTAACAATGTTTTTCCTTGTTACTTTGAGCGATATTTTTTCCTCAGAATAATGTCCTCAAAATCTGATTATTAGGTCAAAGAAAATATACATTCTTATGTATGTTACTAGGAATTGCGTTTTTGGAGCCCAAAAGGTTCGGGAAAATCTATAATACCCTCAGTAGTTAGTTTAGTGAATAATTGAATTAACTACTTCCTCTAATTTCTCTTTTTTTCTCTTAATTTTTTCCAATATATTTTTCTTCTAAAAATGCTTATTTTAGCTATAATATCTTAATGCATTTTAACCACTGAGAAATCTTTAGCCCTTTTGAAAGGCAGGAGGTATTTAATGTGTAAACTATAAAATGATTTCATTCATACAAATCAATCTTGAGGAAATGAATATTCAGATGAGGCCAAATGAAGGGTTAAGAGAATAAGGGATTCAGGAAATAATTTTTACACCAAATTTTAATTGATAATTTAAATAAAAACATTTCAATATTAATTTCTCAAAATATTTTCAAATATAATGTAACTTAAGGAAATAAAACAAAATGTTGGAGCTTACTTTGTCCCTACTGTGACTTTCTTCCCCTCTTTCTTTCCTGAGAGACATACACAGTTCTCAAGTTGATACATATCTTATCTGTCCATTCTTAATGCTGTATACAGATATATCTATAAACAATATCAATATTGTGTTTTCGGCATTTTGTTGCTTGTTTTATTGATTAGTAACTGAGTGCACTGTTCTTTCTGAGATAAAATGAGGTCCACAAACAATTTTGTTCTTCCCAAATAGGGCCTTACATTAAATTTGATTCATGTTTATAAATATTGTTTTCAATATTAGAGAAAGCAAATTTTCCATTTCCTAGCACTTAGGTGAAGACATACAGAAAAATAAACAAATGAACATGATAATTGATGATGTTAAGAGATTTGAAAGAAATAGGCAGGCAGATGAGGCAAGATAAGTCTGAACAGCTGACTTCTAACTGAAACCAACTGATAAGAATAAAATGGCCAAGCCAAGAGCTGGGAACAAGCAGTCTGATTAAAGGAACTAGCAGGTGCCAAAGTCCCAAATAATGAACAAAAGTGAAGTTCTCAACAATAAAAAGCATTGTCAAACACCCTGTGAAGTGTGTAGCATTTTATCCTTTATTTTCAGGTAAGGCACAGGAAGGTTCATTAACTCGTGCAAACTAGAAAGTGGTAAAGCCAAGATGCAAGCCTGGGCAGTCTGTTTCAAGAACCTTGCTCTCAATATGCACAAAGCCACTTGTCTGAGCCAGAAAGAAAGTTAATGGAGATGCTAGCAAGTAGCTTTGGTCAGTTGTGAAAAGAGTTGTGGTTAACTTTTTCAAATTACCATGGGATGACATTGAAGATCCATTAGATGACACTAGAAGACTTTCATGAGATTCTAGTTGAGGGATGATGATGGCTCAGATCAGACCACACCATGGATGGGGACATTCAGGATGCGTTTTGTAAGTGTAACCAAAATCACTTCTTGATGGATTTGATTTGGGAGGTGAGAAAATAGAGAAACATAGAATGAAATATAAGATTTTGGGCTTGAGCAGTGGGTGAATAGAGATATTATAGAGAAGATGAAGAATATTCAAGAAAAGATAGGTTTGACAGGGCCTGAGGTTATAGAACAGAAATTATATTTTGGCTATTTTAAGCAGTTAGTCAGATTAACAAATTCAGATCTTAGGGAGAGTTTACTTCTGGAAAATCAATTTAGAATTGATGAAATATAAACTAATTAGAGGGTCAAACCAATCCCTGCTTCCTGTCAGGAATAATTTTTGCTCATAGGTGTTTTCTGGAAGTCACATTTGTATTCCTGTTTTAATGTAAATTTGCAGACTACAGACATACACAATCCATTTATGCAGAAGGGATCTCATTTGCTGGCAGATTTCTTATGGTCTTCTCCATGCATGTGGGACACATTTAGTCAAACTATTTATTAGGTCTGTGGTTTTTAATAACAGGTTATTTTGGAGATAAATTGAATGGTAGTAAACAACAGATAATTGAGAGAATCAATGTGCTACCTGGATAGCCATATACGTGTGGCACCCTTTCCTTTTATGTTTCTTACATCTACTCTAATGGGGCTGACTAAATTCCTACTGACTGTGTGAGGAGAATTTCACTCAGAATTGGGAAATCTGTATCGAATGACTATGTAAGCTGAATGAATTGAGATTTAAACCTGTTTGTCTATTATTTTTTCCCTTGGTTCCATAAGATTAAGCATTATTAGAGATATCTATGTTTCCTCATCAATTAAACAACTGCACCCCTCAGGAACCTGAATACTTGACTTTCAACTCTCTCTTACTTTAGAGGTTTTCAAAATGTAGCTTGTGGACCACCTCTGTTAGAATCTACTGGGGTGCTATTTAAACAATATAAAAACCTGGGTCCTACTAGCAAGACATCTTACATCAGGAAGTGTAGATTAGGGTTTGCAACATTGCATTTTAGTAAACTTTCAAGATAATTTTTATATTTGCTAAAATTTAAGGATTGCTTTAATGTCCTCTGTAGAACTTGTGTAATTGCACTGCATCATTAGTGGACACAGGATATGAGTGAGGACTCAGCTGGATCTATGTGGAAACATTTTAATGCTAATGCACAGGTATCAATGACTTAAAATGCTGAGAGCGTATAAAAGGTAAGATGACACTTCTAAGATCAACTATCTGAATTGAAGATGAAAGTTCTGTTGGCAAGCAGACTCTTTCTATCTTTCCTTGGCTATGTTCCCACTACGCATCTGCAGGTTGCTAGAGTGATGAGTGTTGGAGACTCATTTTACTGCTGCAATAAAGTTTTTTTTTCCACTTATAAGCCTTGGAAACTATGAATTTATTTTAGCTAGGTTTTAGATGTCCTATGGATTGCTTCCATTTTTAGTGGGTGTCACATTGTTAAGATTTTTTTTTCCATTAGAGACCAATGACTGGTATTTCTGTTAGAGTAAGAATTCAACATAGTACAGATTATATAGGTGTCTGAAGTTGTTTAAGGCTTGAACCTACTAGTATGCACACTCCAGATAAAAATGTCTTCATTTATGTAGTCAGAAGACATAGTTGACCCATTGTGTCAAATTTTCTAAAGAATTTTCATGAATTCCCTTGAATGTGTTTATTTGAGATTCTTCCATTTTCTCTTTTCTTAAAATACTCTCAGAAACAAAATTACCTGATTCATTTCAATGACTTCCATAGCCATCTCTAGGGATAAACACCAGGTGTATGGTTCCAAACCAACTTTTTCTGATAAACTTTAGACCTGTATTGCCCACTGCCAATTAGTTATCTTTTCTAGGCTAACCTATAGGTACCTCCAAATCAGTCTATCGAAAACGAAGTTCATCTTCTTTTCCCAAATTGTTTCTTCATCCTACTGTAGCCTATCCCAGCAAATTATGTCGACATTTACCCAGTTTTCCAAGTCAAGAAGACTGAACACTCTAACCTCCTCCCTTTGTATATCCAGTTAATCACTGAGTCCTGTTAACTTTATTCTCTAAATATTTCATGAATCTCTTGACTTTTCCTCAACTCCAGTACCTTCAGCCTTGTATTAGATCGCCATTTTCTATCATCTTCATCAGTGCTTCAATGTTCTAATGTGGTTTCCTTTTCAATCTTCTACTCTTCTCACTAATTCTCCACAAAACTCAGGTCTCATTCTAGCATACTTAAAAATCTTCTCATGGTTTTCCATGATTCTTAGGATGAAGTCTAACTTCTTAAATCACCCTAAAATTTTTCTTATTTATTTATGTGGCCCTAGCTTAACTCTCCAGCTAACCTATTTCTATTCCCTACTCTAGGCTTTTGTGTTCAGTTCTCTGCACTATGTCAGCAATGTAGTCTTACAAACAAGCTCTCTCCTTCTCAGACTCTATCTTCATTCTCTAAGCTGTGACATGGGCTATAACCTCAACTAAATACTCTCTCACATCCCCTCAGAAGAGATCAGTGTCTCTTTTCTCTGTACCCATGATAAGTCATATTATTTCTACTACAATCCTTGAAACAGTGTATCATAATTAGCTCTCTGATTTGTAACTCTATATTCCACCAGTTGGTCATCTCCATAAGGACAGGCACCATTCCTATGTGGGTAGTTTTTTTTTACTATTAAATCTCCAGTGTCTGACACAATGCCTAGGTTAACATATATATGCTAAATGATGCATGATGGGGTCATTCTAGCTGATAGGTGTTGGTTGCTGGGTTTTACTGAGTTAAAGTAAATTCTATGTTTCTGACTAGACTCAGTTGCAAAGGGGCCATGAGAATGCTTTAATATTCCACCACAACCAAGGAAGGAGGGTTGGGGAGACATACATAACACATTGCTGACATCTCTTAGTTCTCACTAAAGGTTTTCCCCAGATCATCAGTGAGGAAAAATTCAGTTTATATTGGAACCCTATAAAAAGTTGTATATAATTTTTGATATTAAGCTAAAACCAAATACATTTTCTGATAAAGCATGTGTATTCAGTCTTTTGCAGAATATCATTGCTATTCTTTACACAAATTTTATGTAAAGAAGTCCTCTCTTTATATAAAAAGATTGCAGAGATTGGGAAGAATTTATCTGATGGTTAAAGACATAGTCTAATGTGCCAAGTGAGCAAGTTCAGAAATAGAATATTTCTTCCAGGATATTGTCTTAGTATGCGATATTTCTCTCAGAACATGATACTCATTATAACAAATCAGTTCATTTTATGATTATCCTCATCAGTGAGGTAATTGCTTCAAAATGGTTTTCCATTATCTATTGCTTTTCCTGAATGTTGGGATGTATTGACGAATTGTTGCTTCCTTGTAACATACATTTTATCTTCTGAGTATGTCGATTTAAGATGACCTTGTACCTGAAGTAAAGGTTGTTCAAATTTACAGTTTTCAAAAATGTGTGGCTACTCAAAATTTGCAGATTATAAAATTAAAACTGAGAAATCAAAAACCAGTAAAACATGTATATGAGTCTCTTAATGAAGAAATAATGTCTGAAATAACATGCTCCAAAATGTGAGATCCAAGTTAAATCATGTAGAAATATTAACAATCAATTCTTTTTTAATTTGGTGACACAAAAACCAAACAGAAAATATTTACTTTTATCTTCAGAGTTTTCCCAAAAGAAAATTTTTTAATTTTAATAATACAAGATATGCATGACTTTAAAAGTTCAAAGAGTATTGTCAGAGCACTAAGCAGTTGTGTTTACAATAAACAAAGCTCTGAATCTGGTAAAGCTTATGCTCCAATTTTTATTCATCTTGTCTAGTCAAATGATATGGTTTGGCTCTGTTCCCACCCAAATCTCATGTCAAACTGTGATCCTGAGTGTTGGAGGGCCTGGTGGGAGGTGAATGGATCATGAAGGTGTTTTTCTAATGGTTTTGAACCATCCCCCTTGTGCTGTCTCGTGATAGAGTTCTCACAAAATGGGGTTGTTTGAAAGCGTGTAGCACTCCCCCTTCATGCTCTCTCTCTCTCTCCTGCTGCCATGTGAAGATGTGCTTGCTTCCCCTCAGCCTTCTGCCATGATTGTAAGTTTCCTAAGGCCTCCCAGCCATGCTTCTTGTTAAGCCTGTGGAACTGTGAGTCAATTAACCCTCCTGTCTTCATAAACTACCGAGTCTCGGGTAGTTCTTTATAGCAGTGTAATGGACTAAGACATCAACATCTGTTGAAAGTGCAGGATTCTACTTTGCCCTAAAATTGGAACATGGAAAAACATGCATTTTAGAATTTCCACTTTCAAATGCCTCAGGAAATTTAAGATACTTTGAAAATTTCATATAACATACATAACTAGGGAGGCTTTAAGTTTTATTAATATGACATTAAATCATTTCTGTTTGTTATAGATAACAGTATAATATGGTCAAATTCAGTTGTTAAATTGATTGTCTGCAAATACCTGCTTATGCACAATATTTAAATATTTACCAGAAATCTAAGCTTCCTAAAAATCAAATTTACTACACATTTTAAAAACAAGAGTAGTACATTAATCATAGTCATGTCATTCAAATGGCTAATTGTCCACATTGCCAAATATTCACCAGTATTAAAACTGGGAAAATTCCTATGCTATAGGTTATTAAAATCTATCATTTCACAATTCTTATCTGGAAAATTTTCAGAGATACAGACCTTTTTATCACAAAGTTAATCTTCATTTTAATATTTATGTTATTTTAGCTGAAATCAAGGAGGAAATTATTTCATTAGACAAAAGCATGTAGAAAAAGAATATATAGTCTGAAAATGAAACTAATTTATGCTAAAACAGTATTTCTATAAAATGTCATTGCAGCCTTTAAAAATTATGTTTTTCAAAGAATTGTCATCTGACAAAGTGCACATTTTCTTTCTTGTGAAATGAAATGAATTATCAATTTAAAATAGTGTTTCCATAGGCAAAACATATTCTGAGTCCTTGGGATTGATGGTGTAAATGCTGAATTTGCTCACATAAATAGCTGCCATAATTCTGCATCTAATCATGCTTAATCCTCTAATATACCTCTAAATTTCTAGCTCTGACAAATAGCACGCCAACCTATGTGTACTTACACCAAAATTATCCTAAATATTTTTTGTAGTTAGTTTGATTTTGAGTAGAAAATGCATTTCTTCTTTAAAGGTCTTAAAAGTAAATGAACGCAGTTAAGAGGGTTGTAAAAATTCATCTAAGAAAAATCATTCCTTTTGATCTGTTGACATAGTTACCGTTTAAAATTTATATGTGCTTGTGGTCATGCAACAAGTCCCCCATAAGGGTGTGGCACATTATAATGGCTAGGAACACAGACACTGCAGCCCAAGAATCTGGGTTCAGATGGTAGCTCCACCATCTGTTGTCTATGTGGGCTAGGGAAAGCGACTTTACCTCTTTGAGTCTTGGTGTCCTCGTGTACTCAATGGGGATGATGAGAATAGAACCTAGTTCACATCACTGTATGAGGATTAAATTAAATAAGTCAATATTTAAAAAATTTTTAGAGCAGTACCTGCCACATACTAAGCATTGTAAAACTGATGGTTAAATAACTTTGTAAGAAGCAGTGCTAGATTCGGATGCCAACACTTGGATGATTTCTCTGTCTTGGAGGGACAGGACATTCTTAACCTGACAACATAGATGTAAAAATACTTCTGGGTTGCAAATAATCAAAGAAGGAGTTTTCCAAATATTTTATTTTTCCCCTAAATTATTTTAGTCCTTGGACCTGGTCTTCATGTAAAGAACTGTGGCATTTTTTAGGGGTTTTATGGGCATATTTTAGGTTTTGCTTCCCATAGTTAAAATTTGTCTCATCCACTCTTCTCTGTACACCAGGAGACCTCTCTAGACTGCTCTGTTAAGACACCCAAGCTCTCTTAACACCTGGCTTTCTCCTATGTTAAGCCAGGAGCAGGCACTGGCAAGAAATCAGAGGGAAGGAAGGGAAAAAGATGAGGATGTATATCTCCCTCTGCCACATCTGCTCTCTTCTGATGGGCCAAGGTTTGACAGTGGCTCCTGTCTGATAGCCAGTCTCTCATGGTGGCTGCTTTTACAGATTTCTTAACATTGCCTCCTGCTTGCCCTTTCAGAGAAGGGGTTTTAAAGCTTCCTGCTGTTACTGGCTTCTGGCTACTTCACCATCCCTAGTTGAAATGGACCCTTTGTTGAGCTCTTTTCATTTACCCCAGTGAGTGTGTCATCTGGTCGATGCTAGCAACCTGCCCCATACAGGTAGTATTCGTTAATTAGTTATAAATTTGACCTTTTTGGCCTCTAAAGAAACTCACGTTGAGTGTTTAAAATAATAGGATGATTCACTATTTCCTATCTGCCCTTGAAACAATTATTTGTATAAAATGCAGTGGCTCTTTGGGAGACATTTCTACTCACAAACCCTTACCATAAAATTTGGGAAGTTTTTTGAAAGCAGAGGACTTTCATAATTTTTTTAGTGTGAGTTACAGAACCCAAAGCAATATTAAAGGTGAACACATCCTAACACGACATAGCTAGCTAGAAGATGCCAAGGCCTGTGTTCTTTTCCTCAATTATTCGATATCTATCAGAACATAATTTTAGCAAGGAAATAATTGAGACTATATAAAATTATATCAACTGTTTACTTCATTAGAAAATATATGACAGCCATGTCAATGATTATTTCAATCACCTCGTGCTGGAAGTATATACATTTTGGGGTTTCAGGGAAGCATATTTAGAACAAACAAATGTAAGTTATAGTTTCACCCATTAGGTAATAAACATCATTAGGTCATTCTTTGAATAGCTCTGCACTAGACGACTTGCAAAGCCCAGGATTCACCGTGGTGCTCAAAATGCACAAAGTCCCTCTCTTCCTCTAGGTTACAGTTGGGAGGAGGATGTTAACGCAGGCTGCCTGTGATCCCCCGACTAACTTTGTAGAAGTAGGGATGTGAGTGTTGCTCTTTGGGGAAGGAGAAGAAGTCAGAACTTCATTTATTTTCTTATCCGCTGGACCTCCAGGTAAGCTGACACATGATGCCTGTTAGGAGGAAACAATTTTCTATATTGAAAATGCTAGGCAGGATGTTCCTGCTAAAAGATTCATTATAGTCAATAAATCTAGTACCTATGGATTTTTAAGACATAGTTCCTTGGACAATAAAAGTAACTTGGACAGCTCTCTGGGGTATATATTTGTCCACTCGGGTTGCCTTAACAAAACACCATAGACTGGGTGGATTAAACAACAGAAATTAATTTTCTCACAGTTCTGGAGGCTGGTAGTCCGAGATCAGAGTACCAGTGTGGTCCGACTCTGGTGAGGACTCTCTTTCTGGCCTGCAGATAATACCCTCTTGCCATGTTCTCACATGGCTAACAGAAAGAGACAGCAGGCTCTCTAGTGTCTCTTCTTATAAAGGCACTAATCCCATCATGAAGACCTCACCCTCACAACCTCATTTAAACCCAGTTATCTTCCAAAGGCCTTATTCTCAAATACCATCACATTGGAGGATAGGAGTTCAGCATATGAATTTGTGGATTGTGGGAAGGGCATGATTAGGTCCACAGTAGGTATAAAGTGGAGATTCTGCACAATTTAAATCCCCCCTGTTCTGTGAGGTAACCCTGTGGACCTCACCTACAGACATCACTGATCATTCTGGCACTGACATGCATGTCTGATGTGAGAAAGAAGGATCTGGGAGACATCTATGATGTTCAGACCTCTCTATCCTTTGCCCAAGCCTTCTGGATTTCCTGAATCCTTTATATTCTTAACAGATATTCATGCTGGGTACAATCTCTGATCAATGGATTCAATGTGACAGTCTGATCCTGCATATTAGCTCAACCATCTCATGAGGCTTCAATGCACAAATAAGCACAGAGATCACATCTGTTTCCCAATTTTGATAAAGTCTATAAAGAAAAGGTGCTGGTATCTTAAGAGGGTAGAAAATAAGGATTTCTGAGAAGGCAACTTCAGGAGTAAGGCCTGAAAGGTTCCAATTAGCAAAGAGAGCTACAGGTTACAGGTGCGGGTGAAGGGTTATAAGTGCCCTTTCATTATTCTTTGTATGGTTAATTTTTATCAATTATCTTTCATTTCATTATTAACCCAGCACTTGATAAAACATCAAGAGTTTATCATAACCAGTGAGTAAGTCATTAAAAGATATTATTCTTTAAATCTTAGCTCAAAAGTTCTTTCCTCTGTATACCTTTTGGGTATCCCTCAGGCTGCTGAGAGGTAATTATTTCTGCATTTCAGCAAGTCCCCTCATTCTTCTCTGCCCCTTGCCCTGTTCTTTGATGTGCTTCTTAAAGTATTTATCACACTAAACATTTGTCACAAGATTTTACACTGACCATCATAAGACCTTTGATGGCAGATACAATATTTTATTTATCTTTGTATATTTTTGCTATTTTTCATTTGTCTTTTATTTATCTTTGTATACATGACACATAGGTGATGCTTCACATTAGTTTGTCAAATTAACAAATGAACCTTAAGTTGTGTTGAAAGCATTTCTCTTCATTAGTATACAGTGGGTTAGGATTATTAATTTACTCTGGAAACCACTAAGTACAAGCAAAATGATTCTTTAAAAATTTATGCAGCCTTTAACTCCAGAGAGTTATATAGAGGTATTTTCTATTCAAACTAATTTTCTAATATCTATTAATATAACACAGATGTACGTTTTAGTGTGTATATAGCTGACATTGTGTGCATGTGTGTGTGTAGTTGGGATTGAGAATTTTGTTGTAGTTGTTGTTGTTGAGACGCAGTCTCGCTCTGTCGCCCAGGTTGGAGTGCAGTGGTGCAATCTCGGATCACTGCAACCTCTGCCTCCCGGGTTAAAGCAATTCTCCTGCCTCAGCTTCCCGAGTAGCTGGGACTACAGGCGCCCACCGCCACGCTCAGCTAAATTTTTTTGTATTTTAATAGAGACGGGGTTTCACCGTGTTGCCCAGGCTTGTGACTAACTCCTGAACTCAGGGAATCTGCCTGCCTTGGCCTCCCAAAGTGCTGGGATTACAAGCATGAGCCACTGCGCCCTATTGGATTGAGAATTTTAAGGAGATTGCTTTGTTATTGGCTTAGAAAAATAAACTGAATTGAGCAAAAGATTAGCCCAAGAAGCTTAGATGGTAAAAAAAAAACCTAGTAAAAGATAATACAGTAAACTTATTAAAACTATTTATCAGCAGGTCAATTAAGCACTGTGGGAAACACAGATATTTATATAGTCACATTACAGGTAATGCAAGAAGTAAAGCAGAAAATGGTGTCCATAAACTCATGTGTCAAATCATTTTCATGCAAGCTAATAGTGATATATCAATGTAAAACCGGAGTCATACATAGTATAAATCTTTGGTGCAGTAACAGTAGTCAGGACAAAGACTGGACCCATAGTCTGGGACCCAGAGAGAACACATCGGAGTGAGAGAACAAAAGGTGTCATGGCCAGATTACTCCAACTGCAAAGCAACATGCAGATAGGAGACACATTTAAAAACCCACTTTTTCCATCTTCCCCCATATGCCTGCTCATACATGCTTCAGAAAAATTTCAAGGGAATTAACTATTTACTATTCCTATTCAAGTTGTCTACTACTCTGAATCTATTTTAAGTTAAAAAAATAGATAATTGCATGCTGAATATAGATGATAGTCTGAGAGCCTGAAGGAAAAGAAATATAAAATATAATATGAAACCACATTTTCCATGTCCTCTCTAATTAAATTCTCCAAGCAGACAATACTGGAAAGTGGAGGATATATTGATATGGGTAGAGCTTATTCTCAGGGTAAAGGAATGTGGACTCACACTCAGCCTAGCGAAGTTTTGAGTGGTTTGTTTTTGTTGTCTTTTCCTGTTTGGGGTAAGCCTGGAGTGAATTTCAAGAATGATAAATTGACAGCTATACATTCAGGAGTTATTGTTAGAGGTCTTCTCTGATACCTATCTAAGTCTTCTCTAAATGTGTCCTTATACAACTCACTGTGTAAGAAAGAAAATTGGAAAATATAATTGGTAAACCATAGAACATTTTGGAAACCTGTCTTCAACTTTCCCTAATGTGATAAAGAGAGATGAATGTTGAATATTCCACTGATTATTGAATTCTGCAATTCTGCATTCATCATACAGAATTTAGTTTTGAAGCTTTTAATTCCCATTTCTTTCTCTTCTAGTTGACAACGAGGCTGGCAGTCCAACCTTTTCTCATTAGCCTGTCTGCTTTAACTTGGCACTTGTGTCTTTGGTTTCCCATTTGAGGTCTAATGTCATGTCCTGGGTACAGGTTAAGGCTAGCTTACCATTCTACCTTTGAGCCAAATGGTAAAGTGGAAGTTGGAATACATGCTTGAGCTTATTGGTAATAATATACTGTAAAGCTTGCTATTAGTCATGATAATAAAGTAAACATGATATTAGTGATGTAGATAATTTAGACATCTGTAACATTTTATTCTGCAAAATGTAAAATGATGATGATAGACTATTATTTTATATATCATTAGGGGAAAAATGTTCCTAAATAAATTTTTGTTCTAAAAGTGTACTTCTTTTTCAGGTATATTAAGATATAAAAAAAAGTCCGAAAATTTGAGAGAAACTGTAATTAGATCAGATGTACTTCTCTTAACATACTTAAAAATGCACTGAACATAATAACAGGTCAGAAGATCAGTGCTTTTCTTCTTTTTGAAGTTGGTAAATCTTTGTGATTAGCATTGAGGCTCCTTAAGCCTTTTTAAGACATGTTCAGTAATTTCTATACCAAAGGAACTCAGAGCTTTAAAGGACATTTCAAATGACTGGCTTATTGTTAATGTCTTATTACATTATGGACTAAAAAACCACAAATGATAGAAAGGTTACATATCTATTTACCCCTAAAGCATTACCAGTTGTCCAACTCCTGAAGATAAGAAAAATGTGTGTGTGGTGTGTGTGTGTGTGGCATTTTAGCATTAAGTTTATAATGTACCCTTACTTTTACTTAATAAAATATATTTCTATCAATATTATTATTATTTCTGTGATTCCTTCATCTATACCATGACTTAAAGGGTCGTTTGAAAGGTATTCTGATTGAGTCAATATTCATAACGTTATTTTCCTGAGAAAAATTGAATTCTGAGCAAATGACTAATACATGAACCTTCATAGTATAACCCAATTAAAAACTGAGAGATGTCTGTATCTTTATGAATGTAATTAATATGCTCAGTGCACATAAAATGTACATAATATGATCAATAGATTTATCTAAAATTTCTCAAATATCTTCTTAAATATCACGGTGAAAATACAATTATATTAAGAAAACAATTCCTTTTTGGCAAAGAAAATGAAATTATCTATTCAAAATATGCCAATATAGAATAACTTAAGGAACAATTTAATTATAGAATAATTTTCACAAAAATGTCCAAAGGCAATTTTAACTGTAGTAAACTGTGAGCATATTCTGAGCATAATTAGGGATAAGTCATTATATGAGGTGAAGATATTTGTACACTAATAAAAAAGGAAAGTATTTTTCCTGGTGTGGTGGATCATGCCTGTAATCCCAGAATTTTGGGAGACCAAGGTGGGAGGACTGATTGAGTCCAGGAGTTTGAGATGAGCCTGGGCAACAAAGTGAGACTCCCATCTCTACAATAAATTTGCCAAGTGTGCTGGCACACATCTGTGGTCCCAGCGACACAGGAGGCTGAGGCAGGAGGATCACCTGAGCCCAGCAGGTTGAGGTTGCAGTGAGGCATGTTTGGCCTACTGCATTCCAGCCTGGGCAATAGAGCAAGACACTACCTCAAAAGAAACAACAAAAAAAGGAAAGTATTGAATGGTCTAAATTATTTTTAAATATCACAATAAATATATGTTTAAGGATTGACTTTAGAAACAAGGCCACCTAATCATGGTTTGGAGTATGGCCTATATACCCTCTTATCTATAGGTCTCTTCTCTCTTGTCTTGTGTGTGTCTGAAAAGCTTCAAGTAACTTCAAAAGTGCAAATAATTTGATAAGGTAAATAAAAGCTGCAACCTGACATCAGGAAATTTGAATTCAGCTGCCATTTCTGCCTTGGGAAAGTGCTGGCTTTATTTTCCTCAAAGGAAATGATGTAAATACTTAACTAAAATGATTGCTGGGAGGGACATGAGAAAAAAAAAAACTATCTGTAAGATTCTACTTTAAACTGAGAAGTGTCATGTTAGGCAACTAGCACTTTGTTTGTTAGGTCTTAAAGACAACTGGCTGATTACCAAACTCCTTAAGAACAGTCCAAATGGAGAAAGATACAATGATTGAAGCCCAGTCATGATCTGGCTGCTGATGTCCTGTGGTGTATCTGGAACCTAAGATACCTGTGAGATGGCAGTCTCAAGTCTTTTTGTGTCCAAATGGCTTGCGTGATTGAACCATGACTTTTTTGGTTTTAAGTCTACAGCAAAAAAATATAATTTATAAATGTTTTTGAAGAGTATATTTAGGGTTCATACTTTTATCTTCATAAACTTAATACTTTGATTAAAATTAATTTTTTATCAAAACCTTAATAGAATACAAATACCTTCTGGACTTGGCATATGTAATTTGTGCTGATCCTTACTTATATGCACAAGTCATAATTTAGCAATTTAGTTTTGTTACAACTTTTCTATAAAACACCATGACTTTTTTCATATTCCAATGGATTTACCAGAATAGGTGCTTAAAAGACAAAATGGTCAGGCTCTTTACCTTAGCTATCTCAGTGTATCTATGAAATTATAGTTTGTGGAGCTATTATTGGCATTGGTATGAATGATGTCTATAGCACAGAGACATAACAATTTGTTAGTAATGCTTTCTGGCCTGAGTGACATTTTTCACATTACCTATATTCTTTGTCCTGGAGTCTTTTCAAAGCTCTTGCTGTTGATTAAATTCTAGGCCAGACAATTGCTAACATCTCCCAAATGGAATATTTTTGAAATAGCTTTGAAACTGCTATTTCATTCACACATTCTGGAAGAGTTTCTTTTCCTATATAATACCATATGTTCAGCTTCTATCATATATTCCCAGTTCAAAAAACCTTCTGTCTTATGATGTGTCACATCAATCAACAAGGTGTTTATTTGGAAGACATTTGGTCGTGAGCTATAACATTCCTTCCAGATACAAATTACATGAAACCCCAGCATATAGTTCTCCATCATTCATCATTCGAGGTAGTTAGACAAGACAGGCTTTAATGACTTGAAAAGCTCTTCCAAGGGCAAATGCATTTCCAGATATTTTGGTGTGAAAAATACTATGGTTACACTGAACTTGTGCCCATATTCTCTTTTGTAAAATATATTTCTGGAATTCTTTAAGAAAACTTATTGAAAGAACATAATATCCCTGAGCAATTCTTACAATTTCTTTAAAATTTGTTTAAAATTTAAAATTTTCTCTCTCTGTTTGCCTCTCTTCTTCCTCTACCCTTCATTTGAATGTTTTTCAAAGGATTGTGCCACAAGTGTTTCTATGCAACAGCCAGAATTAGACTGAAGGCTACATATGGATATAAAAGAGAAATGGACAAACATTTGATAAATACTGATGACTTGATTTATGTCTGTTGGTAGATTTTTCTAAATGGAAAATCATTTTACTTCCACTTTCTGTGCAAACATAGCCTTCACCTATAATTCCATTAATCTCAGGAGTATTTGTTTTACTCTTTAAATCATACATATTATTTCTGTGTATATTACTAAACATTAATATCTCCAAAAAATTCTCTCAGGGTAGAATTAATCAAATAAAGAGAGCTATTTGGAGGTGCCAAATGAATACTTGGCACCTCATTTTTGGAACCCAAAGACACAAAAGGCATTTTCCTTACTTTCTTCAATATTGTTATTTAAAAACAAAAATATGTATTTAATCAGCATATGAAATATAAAATACAATGAAACTACATAATGAAGTCAACATGTAAATGTAATCACTTAGCATTGTAAAACTAATTAACAGCAGATAAGATGAGTTCTTTTACCTTTGATAGCTCTGATTCTGGTTTAATTTTCTTTATCATAATTGAAGAAAAGAATACTCTCAAAAGCTAATTCCTTTTGGTTTAAGGGCATCTATTGTGTTTGCATTTTTTACATTTGTTCCTCTGGAAGCAAATGCAAAGATGTCACTATGCCAAAGTCCTTAGCTGATGGGAATCACAAAATAGAGACTTGGTTACCTTCTCTGGGTTGTTTGTATGGTTCATCATTTAATTCTTCTCATTACAAAGGGTGCACTAAAAATAAGTCTCCTTTTCTAAGACAGTAACATAAAATCAATAAATCTTAATGCATAGGAGTCTTTTGTAAAATGGATAATTTAATAGAGAAAGTACAAGTCTATGTCTACTTACAATTTTCGGTCAAGCTTACTTAATACAGATTTATTTTAAAATTTGGTGTCGTAAATTTCTTGAATACAAATATATGAATTATGGTTTGTTGATAGAAATGTTATGTTACTTAATTCATGTTTATCCTTTCTTTCAAACATTAAATTCCCACAATGAGAAAAGCAAAGGGATGAAAAGTACATTTGTCAGGGTTTTCAACTGGATATTTTTCTGCCAGAATGATACCTTTACTTATCACAGATTTTACTTTCATCAGGTTTTTAAGTTTGCCAATTTCATTAGGAAAGTGAGAAAAGCTGGGGGTTTATTATTCGAATTTTGGAGCTTTTAACCTTGGAGAGATGCAGCCAAAATCCACCGCTGACATTTTAACTAATGCAGATGGAGATGACAACTTCAGACTAGTATCAGTTGAAGAAAGTTCCTGAAAATCACCCTTCTCATGCCTACGTGGCAATTCTAAATGAAATGTTTCTTATTAATGTATCTTAACTGCAATGGCAATGAGGCATGAAAAGAGTATATGAGTAAGTGTCAGAGGGTCTTTTACTAATCAGTTGTGTTGTGTGATCCCTGGATACAGCTCATCAATCATAGCGTTTCATTTCTTTCTTCCATAGTACAGAGATATTGCCATCAGCTACAGCCATTTCACAGTGCCACTGCCAAGATCTACTGAGATAATGGATATGAAATAGCTTTGAACAGTGCAGGGTACTACAGAAAGACAAGGACTTATTATTTTAACACAAATTGTACATGATGCTTTCCCAAACCCTTGAGGAATTTTGCTTATGGCCTTACAATATAATATTTCATTGACATCATTTACAGATTCAAAAATATAAATATACTGCATCGTGCAGCTAATGTTGATGTGTGCGTGTGTGTGTGTGTGTGTGTGTGTGTGTGCATGAGAGAGAAAGATTGAGAGAGAGAGAGAGAGACTTCTAAGACAAATTTCAACAGAAGCAGTTAAGGTACTAAGAAAATTAATAATATGCTGTAATCTTATTAATGAATTACCTAACCAGTGTTGAAAATCTGATGACCATCATTTATTTCCTCAACGCTCATGCACATATAGGACACTTGCTGTTTATTCTACTATTTTTAAACTAGAGGATATTTCCCGGGATAACAAACATTGTGAACAGCTTAATACACCGTCTATGTCAACCTGCTCTCCTTAAATTTTGAAGCGACAAAATGAGGTTCAAGAGAGATTAAGTACTATACTCAAAGTCATCTGACTTAGGAGGAGTAGAGCTGAAGTGGCAATACCCTCTAATTTTAATCTAGTTTTATTTTCACTATCTACCACATGGAATCAGAACTGTCTTGGAGATTTATGCATCTGAACAATAATATTTAGAACATCATCTCGTCTTTGACACCACTTTGTTCAACACAAAATGGCTATTCAAACTACTCTGGAACCCTGTCTTGTCAACCAATGCAGGAATCTTAGTTAATGTATTCCATAAACACACGCAGGTTTCCCTTAAGCACAGACTCCATGTAAGACAAGTTTCATACTTTTTCATTGTGAAAGATGCAGGTACTATTGGATGGATCTGAAGAGTTGGCAAAATGACAGGAAGATCAGGCAGGCTGCCTGTTTTTAACTTTATGAAATTTTTCATGTTTTATTATCTATCTACTCAGATAAAATTAGGTGGGACACATTTTTAATGCTTCCAATAAATAAGAAAAATGTGCCTGCAGCATGAAAAATCCTTTGACTGCCTTGTGTTATTTGCAACAGATGAATCTAATTTGTATTCAGACATCAGTGCTATAACTAACTAGAGAAATAAAATGGATGTCTATGATCTCTCTTCAATTATTTAGTAAGGATGAAGTGTCAATTGGCTAAAAGTAATAACACCATGGCTGTACTTAGTGTTACACCTATTAGGTAGAAATATACACACATACACGCATATATACAACAGATTAATAACACAGAAGTTTAAGCAATCCAAAGTCATCATATTACTTTTGGAGGCCAAAGTATTTATACTTCAATTAGTTGGTGTTGACAAGAGGCTTACGATTCTATCATATTATGCAGATAGAATGCTATTTTTTAAAACAGTTAAATATTGGAAAATAAATTGGTGGAAATATGAAAATTTATCTATTGTGCAGTACTGGCAGAATTCATTTATCTGTGACAGAGTCCTTCCAAACCAGGGATCTAGGGGGTCATAAAAAGATCTTAAATGTATGATAAGGAAACTATGGAAACCTTAGGTGTGGAGAACCATTTTGGGTTTAACCCTAAATGATGTTAGGCTGATACTCTTGTAACTTCTAAAAAGCAGGAAGAAAATATAATTCACAAATCAGGACGTATCTCATTCTATCTATCTAATATTTAAGACAAAGCATTACTATTTGAGTGTCACATAAGTATTCAAAGTGTTCATTATTGTTTCATGTTTCAGTAGCTACTGAAATAATCCTGAATATGAATGATTTTGCATGCTTTTCTCCATCTGTTATCACACAACTTGGTCTCTGAAGACCATATCTTCCTTAGGCACCAACAGCTAGACATGAGTCAGCTATTGTTTTACTGGAGGAGAGTGTCACAATAAAACTTCAAATTGAAGGTAAGAAGAGATTTACACTATGAAGTAAATAAGCAGCAAGCTTTATTGTAAGACAATGTTCAAACATTTACTTCCAGAGGCAATAATGCTGCCTTACTTTCCCTTTCCTCTAATGTCATAATTATGGGTCATAATGGGTGGAAATAGGTGATGAATGACCACACTGGCAAAAGTAGCACCTGACTCAAACACTACAAGCATCAAAAAATGTAGGGCCAGTTACCACTTTTGTTGTCGTCTGGTAGGAACAAACAATTAACAGCATACAGCAGACTACTGCCTTATGTACAGCAATATTCATTCCAACCAACTTCTGTGAACAACCCTCATTTAACAACTCAGGAGACCTATATAACACCTGCATACCATCCAAACCAGAAATATGGTCAAAGAACCTGGACAACTATGAGAGCAAGAACCTGTGCACCTATGACAGCAGTATGGTAGATGCTCTATCAGCTGATCAAAGAAGAAAAATATATAACTGAGAATTATCTTGAATCTTAGCAGTTGACAAAAAGATCCTCTTCTAGTGCTGATATGAGAGTCAGAAAGAATCTAAACACAGCAAACTTTTCTTCAGGACTAATAAAATAGAAAGGAAGACATTCTGGAAAAAGGAAGGGCACTAATTTAATCAAATTCTTTCTACTTTGCTGTGGATTTTTCCATAAGGATTAATCAAAGATTATCTTGGTGCAGTGTTTATATGGAATACTTCTCACATATATAGGTTACAAGTATTGTGAAGTTAAAATTTGGGAATGCAAGTCCATTTTATTTAAAAAGCTTGTGTTGTTAAACATATTTTGTAAATATCAATTTTTGAGATGTTCAAATTAAAACATCATTAATAAAGTTACATTTATATTTGAGTAATGCCTAAGGCCAAAGACATAAGAAAATTAAAGAAAGCATACTATCATATCACTGAGCCATATCAAAATGAAGAACACGCTAATGTTTATATTATACTTATTTCTTGAATCCTGGGAATATTTCTTCTATGTACAATTTATCTCAAAATATTAATATATACTATTGTAATAATACAATAATAAAAACATCTTATTGTCTCTTCTAAGAAATCAAAGCTCCTTAACTTATTTTGCCTTCTTCAACCTATATATAGTCTTGAATTCAGGAATGATATAAAAGAGACACTAGAGCTCAGAAGGAATCTGTGATTTATCCAGGCTTCAGTGAAGGATAATAAATATAAACATACCTGAATCCATCTATTTTGACCCAGCCCCAATACCACCACAGCAAGCCAACTTGCTATCATCCTTCACATGGACTAAATACAATGGATTCCTAACCGGACTGTATTTCTGTACTTGCTTACCTTCAATTCACTTTCTATGCCAAAATTAGGGTGATCTTCTACAATCCAAATGCATTCATACATTCGCTTGTTTTGCAAGTTTAAAGTTTTTCCCTTGCATGAGATTGAGAAGTTACTCAATATGAGCTAAAAGTTGCTGAATAATCCATCCCTGTCTACCTCTCCAGGGTCATTACTCACCACTCTCCTCCAGTATCACAATGCTCCAGAAACTCTTTGCTCACCTCAGGGATTTCGCAGATACCTTTCCTTTGGCTGGAATGCACTTCCCTCTGCTACAACTGGATAATTTTTCACATCTTCTAGATCTCATTTTATAGAGATGGGGTGGGGGAAACCACAGAAACTTCTTAATCCATAAGAAGCGTCTGTGTCTCCAATCTTAAATAATTGTTCATCTTATATTATCTCATTGCAATATCTACTTTTCTTACATAGAAAGTTGATTATAATTTGTAATTATGTATTTATTTCTGATTATTTGTATCATTTCTCTATCTCCCCACCCCTCTCCATGACTGTTTCTATTACTTTCCATTAAATACTCTGTGCCTTACAAGGATATGACCAGTAGCTAACCAGCAAGTAATAGATATTTGTAACAGGGTGAAAAAAACGACTGAGGAAATGGATTGGTAGATAAATGGATAGAGTTAAGGCTAATATCCAAATAGGCAAATGTGTTTAATAGTCAACTGTAAAGGATTCATTGTTGGTTAGGTTCAAACATAACTTGGCTATTTATTTTCTGGGTGACTTTGGACAAGTTAATAAACTCTCTTACTCTTCTAATTTACTTTATGTTTTTGGCTTTACCATAATAGTAAAATTGCAATGATTTGGGGGATAATATCATCAGCAAAAAAAGATACAAAGTGAAGAGAATGTAGGGAAAACTGTGATATTAACAAGTTATTGAAAGTGGGTGAAAGATCAAGAACACAGGTGTTTTGATATCCTTAGAAAGAATGAAGCAGAAATGCTGCCTGAACAGAGAAAGAATATTGTATGGATATTGAAAGAAAGAAGCAGGAACAGGTAAGAAAGAAATATGAAGGAGAAAATAGCAAGTATTTCCTCTTCTTTTCAGTTCATGACTGATGGCTTCTAGTTTTGTGATTCCCTTCCCCATTAGAATGAATATTTATGTTAGAATGAAAATAGTGCATATTATTTATGCACTAATGATTAAGCAAAGTGTTTTCAGTAAAATAATCTATTCAGTTTTTTGTTACCTTTTATAATAATATTTGTCTTCAATTATTACTAGAACAAAAATGTTTTGCATGAGTAAAAGGAAAGGTCACATTCAAAGCAGTTCTACATCATTTTCAATTCAAATGGGTAGACACTTGAATAAAAATGTACCAGGATTCACACTGTAAACTGATATTAAAATTGCATGCATTAAAATATATAAGTTTGCCAATGTCAAACTAGTAGCAATGGATCTTTTTTGACATCATTATAAATAATAACTTTTGCATCACAAAGCAGGTAATATAAAAATGACTGTGGTTGCTTGCAACATCTCAGTTCATATATTTCAAGATTCAGCATATAACTTAGTACCTTTAGAAAACAGCAATTGTTCTGTTGATAATCAATATAATATAAATAATGACTAAAGCTACTTTAAGTTCTCTGGACAAGTGCTTCCTAAAAACAACACCTCCTTAAATAATCAAATAAAAGTAAGTGGGGAAAATCTGAAGCTTAAAATCCTCCACAACCAAGATGCCACCAGATAATAAGAGTAGCTGATTCTAACTAGCCTATCTAAGCTGACTTTCTAAAGACAAGGGCAACTATTGGTATCTACTGAGAGAGAGGGACAGTGACATTTCTCATTCAAGTGGCATGTGTGATGGCACATGCTAATGCTGGCATAACTGGTGACTTCTGCTCCAGCTGCATTCTACGGTGAATCCTCAATGTTGCATCCCAACTGAGCTCATTAAGTTCAGAAATTTGAGCCAAGAAGAAACAAAATTCTTATCGTGTTTTTACATGGGAGTAGAAAAAAAGAGCTCACCAATTCTGTCTAAGCTCTCATGTTTCATTCCCGAAACATGCAGAAATTAATCTTCATAAATGGAAATGGAGACATGCAGTCCAAGTAACAGGCCTCAGTGACCACTGGAGGCCAACTGTTTCATGTGTTTTTATTATATTCTGGAATTAAATTTGAGAGTTACAGTTTTTATCAAAATTAACCCTAATTTGTAGTCTATAGTGGCCCTTACAACATTTAAGTTTTATAATCAAGGCATTTTAGCTCTGCTAATACTAATAAAAAGAAAAGAAAGCTTTCTTATTTTTAAGGTAAATTAAGTATCTAACAAGCTGTAACTGGAATCAGTCAGTCTCAGTTTAAATATTCATTTTCAACTTACTCTTCTTTACTGCTACTTAAATACTTTGAAAACAGGTAATAAATGCACTAAGCATTGTTTTGCATGGTCCTAAACTCTTTGAGGGCAGACTCCATGTCTTTAAATTTACCTCCTTTCCTAGAATTGTGCTTTCCATATGGGAAATTTTGGGTACATACTTCTTGAATACATTTATGACATAAAATAATTCAACTTGAATACATTTATAACATAAAATAATTATTTTAAATAATTCTGTTTAAAATAAAGTGATGAAGTAGAAATAGAAAGTAAACAAGATGCAGAAGATTAATTTGGCTTTACAAAGATTAAAGTTACTCTCTGATTTTAATAATGACCTCATTAATAAATATTTATTAGATCTTTACTAATGACATGGTCTTAGTCTTGGTACTGTGCATTAGACTCATGTTATTTCCATATACTTTGTTAAAACAGGATTGACTACATCTTCCTAAATGAGTCCCACAATTGCATCTTCCTGGGCACGGTATGAATCATTTACAACACTTAGCATTGAAAAGCACAGTTGATGTGGTGGCATTTATTATAAAGCATACCCATTTGAAGCAGTAATTGTTCTGCTACCAGGGCACAACGCTTTATAACATCCCTTAAAGAGTTTTTTTTACAAAGATGGAACTTTAATTTTTTTCAGTAGCTACCAAGTGCAATGCTTGAGTACCTTTCCTCATTTGTGTTTTTTATCATGAATCACTACCCAGAGGCAATCATTAGCTAATTTGCTGATTTATGGTTGCAGTTTATGAGCTTTAAACAATGCTAAACCACTTTTGTTCCTTCCTCAGTGAACTGACAGATGAAGAATGTCTGTCCTTTATATTCTTAGCTGTGTAAAGTAAATGCACCTCACTCTATGTGTTCTTGGCTTCTATGACATCTGAAATTGCTGCCTTATTACTTTCCTGCTGGATCTTAACTGAAAGCAATGTTTACCTAGCTACCCAATCTGAAAGCTGCTAAGGTTCTTTGTGCTGCCACCTATGACAGAACAAGGTCAGAACATCAGTTTAGTATGGGAATCTAATAGCTATTACTTATGCAGTATTCTAGTGACATACATACTGAAGAGCAAAATTGGTTGCTGCTGTGTAGGCTGACAGGGCCTGGCATCCTGGCTGTGTGAGACATGTTTTCATTATTCAATGAGACACAAACATACATTCAAAACTTGTTTTGAATAATCACAGTCTATATTACCTTTGCATGTGTGATCCAAATTTTATACTAAAGAGAGGAAAGATCTTGAATGCTTCCTGGGGCTGACCTGCTAGCTGTGTCATAATTATCTAAAAAGCTGAAAAGGCCACAGTGTGAAATAGCATTAGTATGCTTCTAAATTTTCTGGCCAAATACACACATCAGATAGACAATAACAAGTGCTGGCAAGGATATGGAGTAATTGGAACCCTCATACATTGCTATTGAGAATATGAAATAGTGCAGCTGCTTTATGAAAAACAATCAGGCAGTTTCTCAAATACTTAAGCAATTCCACTCCTAGGCATATACCTAGAGAATTAACAACACATGTCCACACAAAATCTTGTACACAAATGTTCATAACAGCATTATTCATAGCAGCCAAAAAGTGAAAATAACCCAAATGTCCATTAACTGATGAATGCATAAACAAAATGTGGTATATCTGTAATCTATACAGATAATCTATAACTTATCTCTATAGATACATATAATCTATACAGATAAACTATCTGTATAGATTACAGATAGATAATCTATCTGTATAGATTACAGATATACCACATTTTATATTGTTCAGCCATAAAAAACAACAAAGTTCTGATACATGTTAAAAAATTCATGAGCCTTGAAAAAATTATTCTGAGTGAAAGAAGCCAGATACAGAGCCACAAATTATACAATTCCATTTATATGAAATGTCCAGAATAGGCAGATTCACAAAGACAGAAAGTAGATGGCTAGGGATTGGGGGCGGTGGAGGAGGAATGGGACGTGACTGCTAATGGGTACAGGGTATCTTTTCGAAGTGATAAAAATGCTCTGGAATTAGATTTTGGTGATGGTTGCACAACTTTGTGAATATATTAAAATTTACCAAATTTTTTAGAATGACAAATGGCATGGTATATGAATTATATCTATTTTATTATTATTATTATTATTATTATTATTATTATATTTTGAGACAATCTCACTCCCTCACCCAGTAGAGTGCAGTGGGGTGATCTCAGCTCACTGCAACCTCTGCTCCAGGGTTCAAGCCATTCTCCTTGAACTACTCTCAGCCTCCCGAGTAGCTGGGATTACAGCCATGTACCCCCACACCTGGCTAATTTTTGTATTTTTTTAGTAGAGACGGGGTTGCCATGTTGGCCAGGCTGGTCTCAAACCCCTGACCTCAAGTGATCCACCCACCTCAGCCTCCCAAAGTGCTGGGATTACAGGCGTGAGCCACTGCACCCAGCCTATTTATACTATTATTGATATCTTCATGTGCTATGCATCTTTGTATTAGTAATTGTTAGGCCTTTATTTTTTTCTTTTCACATGCATATAGAAAGCTTATTTGGATTAATTTCTTTTAAGAAGCACTTAAATTATATTAACCACTATTGTGCATTTTTATCAAACAGCCCAAGATTTAGTTTTTAATATATGTTTCTAATTATCATTTGATCTATTATATTTGATATTTCTCACCTCTTTCTATCGAATGAACCCTTAATTCTATTTGATTTTCTTTAATATGCTTAAGTGTCAATCTTTTCTGTTTCAGATAATGAGAATTACTCCATTGCTCATATTCACATAGGTTTAAAATCTGAGCTGTTTTAAAATTTATCCTATTGCCTTTAGGGTACAGGGATGAAGGAGAAGGATGTTGTTTCTACTTTCTAATTCTGTTTCTAGAAGACTACTGGAAATAAAGTTCTACCTCCCAGGCAAAAATAAATATACTTTAAAGGCCTCAAATTACCATATTTCTCAAAATATATCATTACCTTTCCCTGGGACTATAAAAATAAGCTATTAACTGGCATCATCCAACCTCTGTTCCGACCTCTCTAATTTATCCTACACTTTAAATCTTCACTAAAGTACATTCCATTATAATATTTCTCTCCTCAAAAACTTTCAGCAAATACTGCTTTCCTATTAAAATTAGTATAATTTTCAGCATATTTCAGCTTTTCTGATCTTCCCATCCCATATTTTACTAATTCCTGCATCTATCTTATAAATCAGATGAACAGGTTCTTTATTTTTCCCATTCCCACACATTCTTATAATGATCCTTGTGATAACCTACTGCCTGGAATGACCTCACTTCTAGTACCTTTGTTGATATTTTATGTTTCTTATGGCTCATGAAAAATCACAGGTAATACAAAATCTCATAAAAGCAAGAACTTTGTCTTATTCCCTAGTTAACTCCAATGACCAGAACAGTGTCTGGCACAAAGTAGAAATTCAATCAATCAATCAATATTAATTTATAGTTAAATGAAGGAGCTAATAGCATTCATATATTCTTGATACTCCTGTTCACTGTCCTTCTTCTGAAATCATGTAAAGCTAGCTTTTTGTTATATTCTGCCGTACATTTTAGTTATTTGACTATCTTTATTTATTTTCCTTGTAATTGTTCATTTCTTATTTCCTGAATTTTGTAATACAGCACCTTACACTTGATCTCTGTTCAGTTAATATTCGCTGAATTAAATTAATCAACAGATGCCAATATGCTCACTTTGGAAATTGTATCTGCTTTATATTGTTTTTGCTGCAGGCTGATTTACATAAATATTACATGCTTAGAAGGAAAAAAACTACTTGACAAGATAAACTCTAGATATTTTAATTATTCAGTTTTTACTTAAAATGGTAGATTTCATGACATATTTTGTTTCGGAATTATTGAATCATATAGAATGTGCCTTTTAAAAATAAACATGATTGACATATGAGTTCACACTTGTAAAAATAATTCAAAAACGTGTAGCTTTTGAAGCCAAACATATATAAGTATTTACCCATTTTGCCAATACTCAGTGATAGCAGAGGTCCTCACTACCCAGTTCTGATTCAAAATGAGGGATACAGTTCCTTGTTTTTTTTTTTTTTTTTTGAGATGGAGTCTTGCTCTGTCGCTCAGGCTGGAGTGCAGTGGCATGATCTTGGCTCACTGCAACCTCCGCCTCCCGGGTTCGAGCGATTCTCCTGCCTCAGCCTCCCGAGTAGCTGGGACTACAGGTGCATGCCACTACGCCCAGCTAATTTTTGTATTCTTAGTAGAGACGGGGTTTCACCCATGTTGGCCAGGATGGTCTCGATCTCTTGACCTTGTGTCGGCCCGCCTTGGCCTCCCAAAATGCTGGGATTACAGGCGTGAGCCTCTGCACACGGCCCAATGAGGGATACAGTTCTTCATGTCACCTTTGAGATCAGAGTTGGTGCCAATGGAATTTTAAAACACTTCTCACTAAACTACTACTGGTTGGTTAGGTCGTTGGTGGTGAACGTGGAGAGAATAAATCTGAGAAAGCCTCTCTATACACCATTCTTTCCAAAGAACAGTAGTGTTTCATAGATGCAGCACACCTCTTGTTTCTTTACTACAATTGTAACTATCATTTCCAGGTGATATTGTTTGGAAACTCGTCCCTACCCAAATCTCATCCTGAATGTTGGAAGTGGTGTTTGGTGGGAGGTGACTGGATCATGGGGGCAGATTTCTCATGAACTGTTCAGCTCCATTCTCTAGGTGCTGTCATCGTGATAGTGAGTTTTCATGAGATCTGGTCATTTAAAAGTGTGTGGCACCTCTCTCTCTCCTCTTTTGCTCTTGCTTTCACCATGTGAAGTCCCTGCTCCCATTTGGCCTTCCGCCCTGAGTAAAAGCTCCCTGAGGATTCCCCAAGAGCAGATGATCCTATGCTTCACCTGTACAGCCTGCAGAACTGTGAGCCAATTAAACCCTTTTCTTATACATTTCCCAGTCTCAGGTATTTCTTTATAGCAATGTGAGAATAGACTAATACACTAGGCAAGAGTAAAATAGACTAAATTATAGACTACTGATTAAATTGCATGCTCCATAGGGAATATTCTATATGTAAATGTATAAGTAAATCTATCATATAATAGAAAATCTAACCACAGTTGCTACCTTTACCCCAAAGTGGCTATAAATTCCATAAAATGAGTCACATAGACGTGTTTCATTCATGTATTACTACTTTCCTGATCGGTTACCTAGGGCATGGGTGGTGTCTATATGTTGAGAATAAGCTCAGAAAAGTCTGCCCTGAGCTGTATTTTGCTATCCAACTCATCCTATTTGAAAATATTTCCATTGAGAAAGAAGAGTTAAACTTTTAAAACTACTACTAATAAATGATTTGCAAATACAAATTTCTCTATCCACTAAGAAGTCTTGTAATGATTATATATATTTATAACTCATTTTTCTCAAAATAGCAGACTTTCCTTGTAACTGTTAAATAATTGCACAAGGTAAGAACTCCAAAAAAGAAACACTGTGGAATTTGGTAGTTCTAAATATGATATAGCCCTTGTAAGTACATATATATATATATATATACCTGATAAGCATAGGATATTGTTGATTAATTTATTGCTTAAAAAGTGCAACACATCTTAAAAATTACATTTACAATAATTTTTCCTTCAATAACTTTTAGAAAAAAAGATGCTATTTTGTTCTAGTAATATGATAGCTATCAAATTTGTGTTAGTGTTGTGGAGAAAGAGTGTAAGTAAATTACAACTGTCATAGTTTTTCTTGAGAAATATACCTTGATTTCAAACATTTATTAAGAAAAATTTTATTTTATTTAAAGTATATTTGAACATTTTATACAAACCTAGATGAAGAAGTGGTTCTAACTTTATCTTCTATTTTGTAAGTTTTCACCATGTTTTTCCTAACGTTTATTTTTTATAGGGTAAGGACAAATACAATGAAAAATAAGAGACTAAATTCTCACTGTTGAAAATAAGGGAAGAGATTTCTTTCTTCTCCATTTTCTCAGAGACTTTACTTTAGAAAACTTATATTTGTAAATACTTTATCCACTCTTCGAAATGTCCAAAAATCCTTTTGAAGACTAAGTAGGCCTATTGTCAGCTTTATGACCTAGGACTGTCTTTCTCAGGCACTTGGGAGCTAACTTTGGTGGGCATTTCACTCTAAGTTGCAGAACTGCCTTGTCATAAAGATATGAGAAGTTTGTTTTCATCTGGTTTAGTCAATTAGCTACCACACAGTCAACTCAATTACCATGTAAAGTTAGGATGAGCTATGTATGTGTGACAAACAGTCCTCAAGTACTCTTACTTGAGGACTGGCTATTGTTTATGTTCGAAAACATGTACGTAACAGGATGTATCTGCTTAGCTATATAAAACAGGGAGTTTTCTTTCTGTCTTTGTAATCTCCTAGTGGATTACCTGTGATCTGCATCATATTTTGGTTTAGTGATCATTCAATAATAAAAGTGTTTTCTTTCTCTACTTCCTTCATGGAGAGGGTTTCCGGATTGGGAGAATATTTTATTTTTAACTATATTTCTTCAATAATCTGTAAGTTACTAACATATATAGGTATGTTACTTCAGAGCAATGAATGTAAATCAATCAATTACATTTTAGAGGTCAGAATATATTTAATAAAGACTTTAAAATGATTTTTTCTGCTTAATGTTATGAGCTAATTCTATTGTTACTAAACTGAAAAGTCACTGCCCTTCCATAATTGGTATTTGTTAGATACTTTTGCATTTCTCTTCTACTTGGGTTACTGACTGGCAGCACACTCTTAATAATCACTACCTCTGGCCAATCGTCTGTGACCATACTAGCTCCTGCAGTTCAGTTTAGTAAATAATTGCTTGAGTATCATAATTGCCATGTTATATTCAGGTACTTGGGGTACAAGTCAAGGCAAGATAGTATTTTGGGGAAGTGGTTTCAGGAAACTGTCTTTTCAACAAGTCTTTTAATTCTGATGCAGGTAGCCTGTAGCCCACATTTTATGAAACACCATTTATGAAATTGACTACCTTACCTCTATTTCATTCCACATTCAAAATCCTAGAGCTTGAAATACCTGTAGAAAAGTGCTTATGTAAGTGAACAAGCAGGTCGCAATGTTGCATGTCCAACACTAAGATGTATAACACTCCCCCATCTAGAAATGCAGATAGAAGGAAATGCTCCAAAGGTTATATTGAGAGAAATGGAGGTTTTATATATATATATATATATATGTATATATATATATATATATGTATATATGTATATATATATACATATATATGTATATATATACATATATATATGTATATATATATACATATATATATATATATACTTTTTTTTAACTCGATTCCAGGCTTTTTTCATATGTCCTATCTGTTCTTCAATGCACTATATCTCAACTGATCTCTCTGAAGTACTTTCCTGGTCACTGAAACCTTAAATCACTGGCCTACCTCGAAATACTGCAATCACATATTTATATCTCTTTTATGATATTTACCATAATAATTTGTATATTTATTTCCTTTTTAAACTGTAAGCTATTTAAAGACAGGGTAAATTTTTAATTTATATTTCGACCTATGATAAGTTGAAAAGCAGACAATTTTGAATAGTTAAATAAATGTATCTTTACATAAACTTTACATAAACTTGAATTTAAGCATTTCGTTGCCGGAAAAATTATCCAAATCTTTGAAAGAAAGCAAAAGGATGGGCAACACAATCATTACATATCACACAGGGCAACAGCTACCCAAAGTTTTTCTAGAGATGTATGTGGTTCATTTCACTGTTTTCTCCTGAGTTTGCTTGTTAACAGCAGATTTTCTTCAGTAGAGATGCTAATATTTCCTGCCTAGTGGAACAGATAACCACAAAGATTGATAGCTTGTTAGAAATTAACCAGTTTGTATCTTATCCTAATATTTCTTGTTAAATCGACTATAAATAGCCTAGCTTCTTAAATGTTGCTTGAACTGATCATAATATCACTGGTTCTCTAATTAATTAATTAGTTAAATAGAATTCTTGACACAGGTTCCTGTGATATTTGTCTGAGAGTAATGATTTCACCTCTTCAGAAATTATTCCTTCACACAAATATTTTCCTTATTAACAGAACAATTTATATTTCCAAATATCACTTAGAAGTTGCTTACATGTACTAAAAGTCATGCTATTTTGAAACATCTACATTATTAAATAGAAAAAATAAAGTACATAACTTAAGTCCTATTCCAATCAAAAATCTCTTTAATGAGTTCTAAAATAGGAAATTTAACATTTTTCTTTGGTTTATCAATATGAACCTGTTTTAACTATTACCTTTTCAGTGGCCTGACAAGTAATGTACTTCAGAGAAACAAAGTTTTTTTTTTTTTTCCTAAACTAAATCTTTCCCAAAGACCCAGAAGGAGCTTTCCATGAGATTCATAAAAAGCTATTAATATGAATCATAGACCATGATTAAGCCTCTTTCGAATTTTATAGCAGCTAAAGATCTCTTAAGATCCCCTTGTGGTTCAAGGTTTATTAGAACTAATCTTAACCTTGTGGTAGAAACAGAAAATAGCATGTTGCCCAGCTGTCCTGTGGATGAATCCTATGGCTTACTGAATAGGATGGAAGTGCTAGTATCCAAAACTATTTTAATTTAAATTAATTTACTAGCATCTCAATTAACTTAATCTGTCTGAACTTTGACAAACAAAAATATTTTTAGATAATAAGACTGGCACCCACAAATGCTTTCTAAAATCCAAGCTCCTCAGAGTAGCAAATTAGTCCTTGTTACTCAAAGATGTGGGTTAACTCTAAGCCTTTACACTTGTTAACCCTCCATCTTTGGATTACCTTTCAGAGCTTCAATCTCCTACAAGGTAGAATGGAGATTTCAAATCTCTATTTTAATGTTGGGAGGACAGACTGAGAAAACTAATATTATTTATATTAGTTTTTTGGACTAGGCAAATGCCTAGTCCAAGACCTGGTAACACAAATCAGACTTTTAATATATCTCAGCTATCATTTAACAAACTCCTTTGGCATCTGCTTTTTGACTAGCCCTAAGCCAATCCTAACTAATTGTAGATGCCTAGTGCTTGGGAAAAAAAAATAGTCATTTTTATTGTACCATAGGGAAATACATTTGCATTTATTATAAGCAAATAATTAGCACGGAGAAAGTTACTCTTGGAAAATTAGTGAATCCCAGCCTTAAGGCTACTGCTGATATTTCCAACTTCATCTAATCATGTGATGTTGCTATGGTATCTGAAGAGCCTATTTAAAATAACTCACTTATAATTGTATCAATCACACTTCAGAAAAGGTCAATCATGAAGGTCATTTGACACAAAATTTATGTAAAACACACAGAGAATTTTTTCCAATAAAATTTAGTTATTGTAATTTCAGGCACTAGTTTGATTTCAAACTGTCAGCTACCTAGGATCAAGCTCATGTCAATCCAGCTGAGATAACTGTTGAGGGGAGGCTGAGGCAATACCTTTGAAGGAGACAGTCATGAGATCTAGGGGTGGGGTGGGCCTAAGAGAACCAACAGGACAACACGAGGCCTTTAGAACCTCAATCATTCTCCCAAATAATTGCTGTCACAAGTCACTACAACCAAAGGGATTTTGTTATATCCTCCAGGCTTGTTCTAGTTGGGAGAAAGTTGCAGATTACTTGTCTAAGAAATAGAAAACCTCCCCTGAATGACTACCTCACCTGGTACCCTTGCCTCAGCATGGTTGAGGACCTCAGGCTCTTCCTCCTGAACTGTAGCAGCAGCCTCACAGTTGGTCACTCATCTCCATTTTTTCATTATAGACTCTGCCCTCTACAATATTGTTAGGATTAACTATCCCCAAATAATTACAATTATTTCACTTTCTTGCCTAAAAGCCTCTGTTGAAAAAATGAGAAAAAAATATATATATACACACACACATATATATGTGTATATATGTATATACGTGTGTGTATATAGGTGTATATATATATGTGTGTGTATATGTGTGTGTGTGTATATATATGTGTATATATATATCTCCTACTTACTTTAATACAACATAAATTCAGGCTTTTGGCATCTGTATGTTGTTTGGGACTGAACTGTGTACCAAAAAATTCATATGTTGAATTCCTAACCCCCAGTACCTTACAATGTGACTGTATCTGGAGACGCAGCTTTTAAAGAGGTAATTAAGGTAACATGAGGTCATATGGATGGGCCCTACTCCATTACGACTGGTATCATCATAAGAAAAGGAAATCGGGACACAGACAATACATAGACTGAGAGGCAACTAAGCTAAGGACACAGCAGGAAGATGGCCAGCTACAAGTCAAAGAAAAAGGCCTTAAAAGAAACCAAATCTGCTGACAACTTAGTCTTGGACTTCTAGCTTCCACAACTGTAAGAAAATAAATGTCTGTTGTTTATAGCACCCATTCTATAGCATTTCGTTATGGCAACCTAGTGAACTATAATACAGATGTGTTAAAAAAGATATTCAATATGTTTTACTATTTATATGCTACTGCATCAGTGAATTAGAATACAGTGAGAGATAGGTGAAGGATATCAATATGCAATTTATAGAATAACTGAAATCACGATATAAGTTTAAGAAAATGTGCATATTCTGAATTAAACGAATGTAAACCAGGCTGGGTGCAGTGGCTCATGGCTGTAATCCCAGCACTTTGGGAGGCCGAGGCAGGCGGATCACCTGAGTTCAGGAGTTCAAGACCAGCCTGGCCAACATGGTGAAACCGCATCTCTACTAAAATTACAAAAATTAGCTGAGCATAGTAGTGGATGCCTGTAATCCCAGCTACTCGGGAGGCTGAGGCAGGAGAATCACTTGAACCTGGGAGGCAAAGGTCACAGTGAGCTGAGATCATGCCACTGTACTCCAGCCTGGGCAATGGAACAAAACTCCGTCCAAAAATAAATAAATAAATAAAATAAAATGAAGTAAACCAGAAAAACATTGACTTTATCATTTATCAAATAAAGATTTTTTCACGCCTGTAATCCCAGCACATTGGGAAGCCAAGGCGGGCAGATTACAAGGTGAAGAGATCGAGACAATCCTGGCCAACATGGTGAAACCCCATCTCTACTAAAAATACAAAAATTAGCTGGGTGTGGTGGCTTATGCCTATAGTCCCAGCTACTCAGGAGGCTGAGGCAGGAGAATCATTTGAACCCGGGAGGCAGAGGCTGCAGTGAGACGAGATCGCACCACTGCACTCCAGCCTGGTGACAGAGCGAGACTCCGTCTCAAAAAAAAAAAAAAAAAGATTTCCCCCCCTTTAATTATTCTGCTAATACCCACTGTGATTAAAGGAGGCCAAATCCATTACTGTTGACAGTCTTTTTTGTTACAGCCTTTATGGAAAGGATTTATAAGGCTATCTTTATTTTTAAGAGAATTTTGTAAACAGATTTAACAAAAACATAAACTATACAATGGCTTAGCAATTCCACTTTTCTTAAATAATTTATTAAAATAATCTTAAAAATTGAGTGTGTGTGTGTATATGTGTATGTAGTGAGTTCTGTTTACTTTTCTTTATTGAAATATTATTTACAATGAAAAATCAAAAACCACCTACATATATAACAATAGTATATTAAAGATCTTAACTCTACCCACCATACCTAACCATTTAAGCTAGAACAATCTTCTAAAAGGCTATGGCCCTGTTTCCTCCATCTTCACACAACCACACACATATTTTTGGGATACTGATCTGTTGCCATTGGATCTTGCCCCTGAGCTCTGAGCTTCTGGCTATGAACACAGATTCTTTTGTCTTTGGCCTTTACATATTTGGCATCTGGTACCAATATTTTCCTTGACCTTGGATTCAGCCCTACTCTATGGATTCAGCTTTCCTGTTCTCTGCTTCTTGGGCATTATGTGTTTCAGTGAGTTTTTGCTTAAGCTACAACTCTCTAGAGTCTATCTCCAAATCTACTCACTGAGCTGGTTATTAAGGCTATTTTTATTTCCCTATCACATTATATAGCTATTAAATGTATTTACCACATAATTTAACAATTTATAGCCATTGAAATTTTTATTAAGCCTGTATCATACTGTAGAAAAATGATTATAATAAAAAGTTGCATAAACATAATTACAGTTATGTGATCAAAAACCTAGGCATAAAAAAAAGACTAGAAGGAAATGTACTAAAATCTTAATGAGGACTTTTGTCTCCTCCAACCTTGCATCCTGCTGACATTGTGGAATCTCCTGAATGTAAAAATGGATTGAAAAGGAAAGGTTGCTTAAGCCAGCATTTGCCATTTGACATGTCATCTGAAGTAAGAATAACAACATTTTATAATTGCTAGATACTGTCTCTGTATCCACTAGGATTAGGTTCAGGGGCAGAAAAAATAAATCCCCAAATAAAGGTAAGTTGAACAAGATGAAATCGTATTGCTCTTTCACATGAAAAATCAAGGTGGATGGTTTTTGGGCTGATGCAGTTTTTCATACATCAGCTCCTTCTATTTGTTGCTCTATCCTGCATGACTTTGATATTAAGGTCTGTGAAAGTAGCATCTGTTTTTCATGCAGCTGGCTGAAGGAAAAGAGAACGAGAGATAACCTTTCATACTGTCTTAAGAATGTTTTTTAGAAACTGCCACAGAATATTTTACATTGGCCAGACCTTGGTCACATGTCTCTATTTACCTAGCTGCAAGGGAGTCTGGGACATCTAGTCTCTATTTGGGATTTCCTTGGCCACAGTTATATATCTGTTTGTATGAAAAATAAAGAACAAAGTTAATAAAGAGAAAACTCACCATTTCTGGAACTCTCTAAAGAATTCTGAAAATTTTGAAAAATCGTGTAGAATTCAAGTCCTGGAATTTTGTTTGCTCCATGGCAATTTCATCATAATACTTGAAATTTTTTTTCTGTCTCTTTGTTTTAACATCTTTGACTTGTATTATCTTGATTTTTAAGTTTCTTATTTCATATTTTTGCTTAGTTCTATCTTTAATGTATGCCTTTTATAACTTAACTATTGCATTTGCTCATAATAGAGCAAAATTTTTATATATTCAGTTATTAAAATAACTAAATGTATATATACTCAGCTTAAAATTGCATGTAGATACTTTTTCTGATAATATTCTAATGATTACCTTGCCAATATTCTTGAACCATTAACTGGCATGATACCTTAGTACTCTGAAATCATTACAAAATGTTTTAAAAAAGCACAGTTTGAGCAAACTTGAGCTTTATGAAACAAAATTATAATTTCCTTCTTGTAACTCATCTATATCTCACTCACTATTTTACGCCTACAACTTGTTTTAATCAAAACTTGATCTTTATCATTTTAAGAACTTCAGGCCTAAGATGATTACATAGTGAAACACCAAAGTTATTTACAGAATAGATTGCTTTTGAAGATGAAACAGAATAAAGTGAGGTATGAGAATATTTACAGAGGAAACAAAATTTGTCTTGATAATGAAAAAGGTAAAATACATTCACCAAGTCTTTGAAGACCATAATTATCTTAGAGAAAGTTGAATGAATTGATGCATATGGTGCCTTTTGGATTTAATAGTGCAAGAGACCTTCTTGAAAGACCATATATCTTCTGTGCTGCATATGCCATGCATGGCTCCCCATATTAACTAACCTGTATTCACACGTAGGACTGTCAGAAGTCCCCAAAGCAATGACAATGAATTTAACCTCCCCTAATGTTCAAAGTATGTAAGAATAAAAAAGATTTTCTATTTATTAACCAGTCTGAATGAACTGAAACCTCAATTTTTCCATATAATGACTGTCTCAATTTTTGGGGGAAGGAGTGTTGTCCTTTTATTGACACCATAGGTAGGCATTACTAGGAGACATGCCATATCCTTTGTAAATAAAGATTAATTCTGTAAGTAGCTCTATACTCTAAATTTTAAACATCATAATGCTGTTAGGATATGAAGATCATTTGATTTTTGTAAATTTTTAGGAACAATTATTATGTCAAAAATACATAGTCTTTTGAAACTGTATTTTAGTTCAAATCCCAGCTCTGACCATTACTAGTTGTTTTACTTCTGGTAATTTACTTATGTGCCTTAGCTTTTCCATCTGTAAAATGGTAATGATAATAATAGGTGCCTCCTAGGTTTCTTTGAGAATGAACTAATTTTAGATGTGTGTGTATATGTATATATATATATGCATACTAGACCCTCATGATATATTAGAACTACATCTCTTTGGTACATCTTATTTCAACCCAGCTGAAATTGATGATTCTAGGCACACTGCAAGGTTCAACATCAAGTATATGCCTGGTGCTTTGTTTTGTTTTGTTTTGTTTTGTTTTGTTTTGTTGTTTTTCCCTGAAGTCTAAGATACTCAAGTCCACATAGACATAACCCAGAGGTTCCAGGGTACTCAATGTCCTGGGGAACAGCAGTCTATAGATAAATGTCCCAGTGTCTCTTTCCTTTGGCGGGGCAGTTCTGAAGCGCTTTCAACATGGTTCCTTAGGGAGTGAGAATGAGCTCCTCTTTCCCAAATAGTAGCTGGCTTATTAGCACACCCTTCATTGCATTTTTCCCTTTCTCTCACTCAGCCCACTCCTTCTGTTTTGGTTATTGGGATCTCCTCTTAATAAACTACTTGCACTCAAATCTTTGCTTTAGGCTCTGCTTTTGTCATAATAAAAATGGACAGATATTACCATTATTATGTCCTATTTGAGTCACATCTGTGATTTTCATCCAACTCTTCCTAGTCTCACTGTCTTTCCTTTTTTGTTGTTATGTATAGTTTTCATACAGTGTTTTCCCATCTCCCAGATATTTGATGTTAACATTTCACTATGTGCTTTCATACTCCATTTAGCATTTTAATTTGTTTATTCCTCCTCTTTCCTGCCCCTTGTATTACACTGTGTCAACATTGGAATCCTTGTCTTGTGGCTTCACACTTTAGTGTCTAAGCTTCACTGCTACTGTAATGGAGAACAAGTAACATTGATTTGCCTGAAACCTGCTGGCTATTATATTACCCTGATAACAACAGAAACAAAGCCTCCTTTATTTTTACTTCTATGCAATAGTCACTTACTTATTTTTACTCAGAGCAGAGGGTGGAGTCTGAAGAAATTTCCCCAAATCTTCATAAACTGTTTAAATGTCTCCTGTTTTTACTTTACTTGAAAATAGAAGAAAACTATTGGATATGATAAAAATAAAAATGCTTGGATTATGATTGCTTTTTTTTTTTCTAAAAAAAGAATTGTGAAGTATTTCTTATTTTCAAGATAAGTTTTATTTTGCAGAGTTTCTTTTGCCTTTAGGTTTTGGAAGAAGATTTAGAAAGTAGATGTAGAAGGTCTGTTTCCAGGTTACTGAGTTGGTATGTTGTTTTGTAAAACCGTCATAGCCTGTCCTCTTCCTTCCCCTAGGTGTACAGGTGCATTTTCATGCTAAACTCCAACTGTAGTGGCTTTTAAGACTGGCAGGCACTTAAAGAGGTCAAGGCATATCCCTCGGATTGCTGGAGGTAGAGTGGGGCCAGATATATGCAGTAGTTTTGTTAATCCTTTCATTTTACTTATAGTACTGGTAGAACATATTGGGAAAAAAACAGTTTCTTTGTCCAGAAAATGAGAACAGTTATAAGATTGAAGACTCTGGCCTTCCTCACATATTGTGCTGAAGTGCATAGCACCAATGTGAAGAATGGATTTTAAAAAAAGGATTCTTGTTTTAGGGCACACTTCATCTGATAATCATATATTCATAGTAATTCCAGTAATGATAATAGTGCCAAATAGACTTTTATTAAGTAACTAGCCTTCACGGAGGTCCTTTTCTTTTCTTTTTAAGATTCATGGATTTCAGTAATTTTATGAACTACATATTTCATCAGTAAATGGGAAAATTTTCTGTTGAATAAATCCTGGATATAATTGCATATAACTAAAATATTTCAAAATATAACTTTCACTACAAAAGTTGACAGGATGATTAAACATCTCTCTTAAATTTCCATGACTTTCTAATGATGTTCCTTTTTATATCAATCATCCACTTAACTATAACCATGGCTTAAAAATAGTCTCAAATGATCAACCACATTCATGATAAGAAATGGGCATGTATGGTGGAGGAAATTTTTTTTTTCAAATCAAGGCTGGCATACAGATATTTTCTTCTCTTGACTCTTCAAAATAATATTCTCTGGGTTCTGATATAACTTATAATCAATGTTTCCATGGATAATGGAAAATGTGATTATTTACTTCATATTTATTTTTCATAACACTTTTAAGAAAAAGCCATGTTAGCAACATACGGATTTTGTTGCCAGAGTGAACCCCAGCAAGTTATATACACAGAGCTTCCCCTTGTAGCTTTTGGAATTGATTGAACAGTATGATCTCATAAACCTCAAGCAGGGCAATGCCGATGGGACTATAAATCATTCGTGGCAACTCCTGCTCTCTGCAACACCTTGAAATTACTGGTATCCAATAACCTCCTTTATTAAAACATAGAGTGCAACATGATGGGGATTTTTCAGATATTAAGTGATATGTATGACTTTTATATATAGGACAAATCTATTCAACTTGCCATATGATTTAAAATTTATATTATAATACGTCTATTATGGCACACTGTGTTATATAACACATATGTTATATTTGCATAACATCTAAGAAATGTTATAGGTCAAGTAACATGGACTCACTGTGAAGAATAAAATGCATTCAAGATTGACATCATGGTATAGATTTATATTAGTCAAAGTGTCAAGCAGCTTGACTTATTTGGTTGATTTTTCTACCTTTGATACAACCAAATGAGCACCTCAGAAGCATTTATTCCTGTTACCCATTTTACATTCTCTTTAATGTCTTTTGTATCTAAGAGACTTAATATTTTAAGAATCTCTCATGCAATTTAAGAAAAAAAAAAACTATATAATGTAATTCAACATTTTTCCGTATTATGCAAAAAGGGTAAATTTACTCTTGAAGAGATATAATACTAGATATGTAACCTTATTACTCCATTTTCTGTTTTTACCAAGTAAGCAAATTAAAATCTGGCATAAGTTTTTTTATTTCTCAATATTAGTTTTTTTCTGTATAGTACCATTAACATCTCCCCCATAATTTTAAATTTTAACTGAAAATGTTTTTGACCCTTGTAAAGATGTAACATGAAATTTTGTGAAAAGACATGTACTTACACTAATTTATTGCAATATAAGATCATCTCTTACTTTACAAACAACAATGGCTTCCTATTTTACTGTATCAATTTTCCGGCATAGCCAGGGTCATACAAATCCTCCTAAAGGTTGAAATTTTGCTTAACTTTTACTGAAGTCTATAAGGAAATCAAATTTTCCACTATTTATTGCCTGTAACTAAGGAAATCAGTAGGTTTAAAAAATTGAATTAAATTTTTATATTCAAAGATGTATCTTCTCCAAGATACTAACTTTACAATGTAATATATAATAGCTAGTTTGTACATAACAGTCGTATATTGGCCAGATTATCGGGAAACCTATTCAAGTAATATAAATTATTTGATTTAATATTCAACTTATTGTATAGTTGTATATATATTGCAATTCATAAATTTAAAATTACTTCTACACATGGATAAAGACTGGAAAATATGGAACAAACAGAAGTTGTTCTCAACAACACCATTGATGAGAAATTCGGTGAAAGCTCTTTTACATTGTGTTGGACTTTAAAATGAGGAACAAAATACTATATTGAAATACATACATTTAAAACTATATAAGTACTATTTTAAAATATATGTATATTTAAAATTATATAGGTGGGCAGATATAAAGGAATTCCTCAAGAGCTTCAAATGATTACAAGGTGTGATTCTGGAAAGTATGTTAATGACTCCAAGTTTTTCCTCAGAGTCTCTACTTACCCATGCTGCCAACTGTTTAATTTTTAGCAGGCTACATATACGCTTGGGGCAGGAGATGTACACATTAGCACAAGAAAGGTAAAAATCATGTAAAAAATCCCACAAAATGTTAAAATCACTTTTAGGGTGACACATTAGTGGGTAAATAGGAAATATATATTGTTTAAGAGATAAACACGACAAAAATAATTTCCTGTAAGTGTCTTATCTCCAAGTCAAATTAAAAAAAAAAGTCGCCCATTTATATGGGGTTTGGGCATATATTCATAATACTAATTGATCCAAATCCCTGAAAATAAAACAGTTGCTTACAGCCTCTTTGGCAATGCTCCCAGAAGCCTGGGAGATATAAGTGTGTATACCTTTGCACTTTAAACCCAGGTCTCAATGGAGTTCCAAGGGTTCTCAGCTGGCACTTCATTAATCACACAAGAGAATAAGTCATCATGAATATGAATCAACATAAACATGCAAGTGTGCGTATCAAAATGACAGAAGTGATATATGTATATTTAACATATGTATATAAATAGAAAAAGGCAATTGAGAAGAGAAAACATGAGGCAATAAAATTTGACCAAACTGGAATACAGAAGTTTTAGAAGCTGAAGATATAATAATTATAACAAGGAATTCAAATATCATATTAAAAGAAATAAATTGCAAGAAAGATTTGAGAGATTATACAGAAGCCTGAGAATGAGAGGAATATGGGACATTATTTGAGACATAGAGAAGAGTGTATGAAAGTTCAGTGTATCATAATCAATGTTTGAGAATAAAATTAGATGGATTGAGAAAAGGGAATTTTTGAAATTACAAGAGCTCCTAGAATGGATAAAAAATGCTAACCCACAGATCTAGTCAATCTTAAAATCCAAAGTAGAATAAGTAAAAAATAAATCCATACTTAGACACCTCATGGTAAAAATAGTAGGACATCAAAGATGAAGTTTAAAAGCAACCAGAGACACAAAAATTCCCCACAAGAAGAGATAGACTCATGGTTAATGTCTTTTTTTGTGTGTGTGTCATGGGGGTTGGTTGTACAGATTATTTCATCACCCAGGTATTAAGCCTAGTATTCATTAGTTATTTTTCTTGATCCTATTCCTCCTCCCACCCTCTGCCCCCCGATAGCCTCCAGTGTGTGTTGTTTCCCTCAATGTGTCCATGTGCTCTCATTATTTAGCTCCCACTTATAAGTGAGAACGTGTGGTATTTGTTTTTCTGTTCCTGCATTAGTTTGCCAAGGATAATAGCCTCCAGCTGCATCATGTCCCTGCAAAGGACATGATCTTGTTCTTTTTTATGGCTGCATAATATTCCATGGTGTATATGTACCACATTTTCTTATCCACTCTATCATTGATGGGTATTTAGGTTGATTACATATCTTTGCTATTGTGAATAATGCTGCAGTGGACATATGCATGCATGTGTCTTTAAAATAGAATGGTTTCTCTTCCTTTGGGTATATATCCAGTAATGAAATTGCTGGGTCGAATGGTATTTTATCCCTAAGTCTTGGAGTAATTGCCACACTGTCTTTCACAATGGTTGAACTAATTTACTCTCCCACCAAAAGTGTAAAAGCATTATTTTTTTCTCCACAATCTCGACAGCATCTGTTCTTTTTTGACCTTTTAATAACAGACATTCTGGCTGGTGTGAGATGGTATCTCATTATGGTTTTGATTTGCATTTCTCTAATGATCAGTGATGTTGAGCTCTTTTTCATATGTTTGTTGTCTGCATGTATGTCTTGAGAAGTGCATATATTCAGGTCCTTTGCCTACTTTTTAATGAGGTTGTTTTTTTCTTTTAAATTAGTTTGAGTTCCTTATAGATGCTGGATATTAGACCTTTGCTGGATGCATAGATTGCAAAATTTTTCTCCCATTCTGTAGATTATCTGCTTACTCTGTTCATAGCTTCTTTTGCTGTGCAGAAGCTCTTTAGTTTAATTAGATCCCACTGGTCAATTATTTGCTTTTGTTGCAGTTGCTTTTGGTGTCTTTGTTATGAAATCTTTGCCTGTGCCTGTGTCCTGAATGGTAATGCCTGGGTTTTCTTCCAGGGTTTTTATAGTTTGGGTTTTACATTGAAGTCCTTAATCCACCTTGAGACAATTTTTGTATATGGTGTAAGAAAGGGGTCCAGTTTCAATTTTCTGCATATGGCTAGCCAGTTTTCCCAATACCATTTATTAAATAGGGAGTCCTTTCCCCATTGCTCCTTTTGGTCAGGTTTGTCAAAGATATAATGGTTGTAGATGTACAGTCTTATTTCTGCGTTCTCTATTCTGTTCCATTGGTCTATGTGTCTTTTTTTTGTACCAGTACCATGCTGTTTCAATTACTTGTAGCCGTGTAATATAAATCCAGGTAGCACGATGCCTCCAGTTTTGTTTTTTTTTTTCTTAGGATTGCCTTGGCTATTCAGGCTCTTTTGGAGTTCCATATGAATTTTAAAATAGACTTTTCTAATTCTGTAAAGGATGTCAATGCTAGTTTAATGGGAATAGCATTGAATCCACAAATTTCTTTGGGAAGTATAATCATTTTCACGATAGTGATCCTTCCTATCCATGAGCTTGGAATCTTTTTCCATTTGTTTGTGTCATCTCTGATTTCTTTGAGCAGTGGTTTGTAGTTCTCCTTGAAGAAGTCCTTCACTTCCCTTGTTTGCTGTATTCCTAGGTATTTTATTCTTTTTGTGGCACCTGTGAATGGGAGTTCATTAATGATTTGGTTCCCTGCTTGTCTATTGTTGGTGTATAGGAATGCTTGTGATTCATGCACATTGATTTTATATACTGAGATTTTGCTAAATTTGCTTATCAACTTAAGAAGTTGTAGGACTCAGATAGCTGGGATGGGATTTTGTAGATAAAGGAAACCTTTGCAACCAAAGGTAGTTTGTAAGCAAAGATAGTTTGACTTCCTCTTTTCCTATTGTCATCTGCAAGCAAAGATAGATCGACTTCCTCTAATCTTATTGTCATCTTCAAGGAAAGATAGTTTGACTTCCTCTCTTCCTATTTGTATACCCTTTATTTCTTTCTCTTGCCTCACTTCCCTGGCCAGAACTTCCAATACTATGTAGAATAGGAGTGGTGACAGAGGGCATGCTTGTCTTGTGCAGGTTTTCAAGAGGAATGCTGCCAGCTTTTGCCCATTCAGTACGATATCATTGGTGGGTTTGTCATATATGGCTCTTCTTACTTTGAGGTATCTTACTTCAATACCTAGTTAATTGAGAACACTTAACATAAAGTGAGGTTTAATTTTACTGAAGGCCTTTTCTATATCTATTGAGACAGTCCTGGGGTTTTTGTCTTTAGTTCTGTTTATGTGATGAATCATGTTTATTTATTTGCATATGCTTAACCAACCTTGCGTCCTGAAGATGAAGCTTACTTGATCATGGTAAATAAGCTTTTTTGATATACCGCTGAATTCAGTTTGCCAGCATTTTATTGAGCATTTTGGCATTGATGTTCATCAATGATATCGGTCTCAAGTTTTCCTTTTGGTGATATCTCTGCCAGGTTTTGGTATCAGGATGACGCTGGCCTCATAGAATGGGTTAGGGAGGAATCTCTCTTCTTCAATTTTTTTGGAATAGTTTTAGTAGGACTGGTACCAGCTCTTCTTTGTCCCTCTGGCAATATTCATCTGGTAAGCTATTTATCACTGCCTCAATTTCAAAACTCATTATTGATCTATTCAGAGATTCAATTTCTTCCTGATTCAGTCTTGGGAGGGTGTATGTCTCCTATTTATCCATTTTTTCCTAGATTTTGTTATTTATATGTATAGAGGTGTTATAATATTCTCTGATGGTTGTTTGCATTCCTATGGGGTCAGTGACAATATCCCCCTTACCATTTCTGGTTCTTTTTATTTGAATCTTCTCTCTTTTCTTCTTTATTAGTCCAGCTAGTGGTCTTTTTCCTTATTTTTTCAAAAAACCAACTCCCACATTTGTTGAGCTTTTGAAGGGGTTTTTTTTTTTTTTTGTCTTTCAATCTCCTTCAGTTCAGCTCTGATCTTGGTTATTTCTTTCTTCTGTCAGTGTTAGGGTGCCTTTGCACTTGGTTCTCTAGTTTTTTTAGTTGTGATGTTAGATTATTAACTTGAGATATTTCTAGCTTTTTGATGTGAGCATGCAGTACTATACATTTCCTTCTTAACACTGCTTTTGCTGTATCCGAGAGAATCTGGTATGTTGTATCTTTGTTCTCATTAGTTTCAAAGAACTTCTTGATTTCTGCCTTAATTTCATTATTTACCCAAAAGTCATTCTAGAGCAGGTTGTTCATGTAGTTAAATGGTTTTGAGTGAATACCTTAATCTTGAGCTATAATTTGATTGTACTGTGATCCAAGAGACTGTTTCTAACTATTTTAGTTCTTCTGCATTTGCTGGGGAGTGTTTTACTTCAGATTATGTGGTCAATTTTAGAGTAAGTGCCAATTGGCAATGAGAAGAATATATATTCTGTTGTTTCTGGGTGGAGAGTTCTATAGATATCTATCAGATCCACTTGCTCCAGAGCTGAGTTCAGGTCCTGAATATCTTTGCTAATGTTCAGACTCAATGATCTGTCTAACATTGTTAGTAGGATGTTAAAGTCTCCAACTATTATTGTGTGGTAGTCTAAGTCTCTTTGTAGGTCTCTAAGAACTTGCTTTATGAATGTGGGTGATCCTGTGTTGGGTGAGTGCATATATATTTAAGATAGTTAGGTTTTTTTGTTGAATTGAACTCCTTACTGTTATGTAATTCCCTTCTTTGTCTCCTTTGATCTTTGTTGATTTAAACTTTGTTTTATCAGAAACTGGGATTGCGATCCCTCTTTTTTCCTGTTTTCCATTTTTTCTCCTTCCCTTTATTTTGAGACTATGTGTTTCTTTGAATATGAGATGGGTCTCTTGAAGACAGCATACTGACAGGTCTTGGTTCTTTATCCAGCTTGCCACTCTGTGTCTTTTAATTGGGGCACTTAGGCCATTTACATTTAAGGATAGTATTGTTATATGTGGATTTGATCCTGTCAACATGATGCAAGGTGGTTATTTTTCAGACTTGTTCATATGGTGGCTTCATAGTGTCACTGGTCTGTATACTTCAGCATGTTTTTGTAGTGGCTGGTAATTATTTTTCCATTCCTTTCTTCAGGGTCTCTTGTAAGGAAGGTCTTGTGGCAATGGATTCCCTCAGCATTTGCTTATCTGAAAAGGATCTTATTCCTCCTTTACTTATGAGGCTTAATTTGGCTGGATATAAAATTTGGAGTTGAAATTTCTTTTCTTCAAGAATTTTGAATATTAGCCTCAATCTCTTCTGTCTTTTAGGATTTCCTTGAGAGGTCTGCTGTTAGTCTGATAAGCTTCCCTTTGCAGGTGACCTGGCCTTTCTCTCTGGCTGCCCTTAACATTTTTTCTGTCATTTCATCTTTGGAGAATCTGATGATGATGTGTCTTGGGGATGATCTTCTCATGGAGTATCCTACTGGGGTTCTCTGCATTTCCTGAATTTGAATGCTGTCCTGTCTAGCCAGTTTGGGAAAGTTCTTCTGGATGATATTCTGAAGTATGTTTTCCATTCTCCAATTGCTTCCATTCTTGATTGGTGTCTCTTTCAGGTACACCAATCAGTTGTAGATTTGGTCTCTTTATATAATCCCTTATTTCTAAGAGGTTTTGTTCATTCCTTTTCATTCTTTTTAACTGTTCTTTTCTGCCTGTCTTATTTCAGACAGTCTTCAAGCTCTGAGATTCTTTCCTCTGCTGGGTCTCTTCTGCTATTAATACTTGTGACTGCATTGTGAAGTTCTTGTAGTGTGTTTTTCGGCTCTGTCAGGTCAGTTATGTTCCTCTTTATACTCACTGTTTTGGCTATCAGTACCTGCATTGTTTTATCATGATTCTTAGCATCCTTGTATTGGGTTACAAGGTGCTCCTTTGGTTCAGCAAAGTTCATTTTTATTCACATTCCGAAGCCTACTATATTAGTCTCTTTTCATGCTTCTGAAAAAGATATACTAGAGACTGGAAAGAAAAAGAAGTTTTAATGGACTCACAGTTCCATGTGGCTGGGGAGGCCTCACAATCATGGTGGAAGGCAAGGAGGAGTAAGTCATGTCTTATATGGATAGCAGCAGGCAAAAAGAGAAAGCTTGAGCAGGGGAACTCCTCATTATAAAAACCATCAGATCTCATGAAACTTATTCACTGTCACAAAAACAGCATGGGAAAGACCTCCCACCATGATTCAATTACTTCCCACTGGGTTCTTCCCACAACATGTGGGAATTCAAGATGGCATCTGGGTGGGGACACAGCCAAAACACATCAATCCACCCCTCGTCCCACCCAAATCTCATGTCCTCACATTTCAAAACCAATCCTGCTTTCCCAACAGTCCCCCAAAGTCTTAATTCATTTCAGCATTAACTCAAAAGTCCACAGTCCAAAGTCTCATCTGAGACAAGGCAAGTCTCTTCCATCTATGAGCCTGGGATAAATTGGCCAAAACAAAGGGGCTACAGGCCCCATGCAAGTCCAAAATCTGGTGGGGTAGTCTAATCTTAAAGCTCCAAAATGATCTCCTTTGACTCTATGTCTCATATCCAGGTCACGCTGATGCAAGAGGTGGGCTCCCACAGCCTTGAGCAGCTCCAACCCTGTGGCTTTGCAAGGTAAAGCCTTCCTCCCAGCTGCTTTCACTAACTGGCGTTGTGTGTCTCCAGCTTCCAGGTGCACATTACAAGCTATTGGTGGATCTACTATTCTGGGCTCTGGAGGATGGTGGCCCTCTTCTCACAGTTCCTGGTGGCCCTCTTCTCACAGCTCCACTAGGCAATGTCCCTGTAGGGACTCTGTGTGGGGGCTCCAACCCCACATTTCCCTTCCACACTGCCTTAGCAGAGGTTCTCATGAGAGTCTGCCCCTAAGGCAAACTTCTACCTGGACATTCAGGAGTTTCCATACATCCTGTGAAATCTAGGTGGAGGCTCCCAAGCCCCAATTCTTGACAAATGTGCACCAGCAGTCTCAACACCACGTGGAAGCTGCCAAGGTTTGAGGCTTGCACACTCTGAGGCCACGGTCCGAGCTCTATGTCGGCCCCTTTCAGCCATGGTTGGAGCAGCTCGGATGCAGGGCACCAAGTCCCTAGGCTGCACACAACATGGGGACACTGGCCCTCTGGGCCTGTGATGGAAGGGGCTGCTGTGAAAACCTCTGACATGCTCTGGAGATATTTTTTCACATTGTCTTGGTGATTAACATTTGGCTCCTCACTACTTATGTAAATTTCTGCAGCCAGCTTAAATTTCTCTTCAGAAAATGGGATTTTCTTTTCTATCACATTATCAGGTTGCAACTTTTGTGAATTTCTGTGCTCTGCTTCTCTTATAAATCTGAATGCCTTTAACAGCACCAAAGTCACATCTTGAATGCTTTGCTGCTTAGAAATTTCTTCTGCCAAATGCCCTAAATCATCTCTCTCAAGTTCAAAGTTCCACAAATATTTAGAGCAGGGGCAAAATGCTGCCAGTCTCTTTGCTAAAACATAACAAGAGTCACCTTTGCTCCAGTTTCCAACAAGTTCCTAATTTCCATCTGAGATAATCTCAGCCTGGACTTTATTGTCGATATCGCTATCAGCATTTTGGACAAAGCTATTCAACAAGTCTCTAGAAAGTTCCAAACTTTCCCACATTTTCCTATCTTCTTCTGAGCCCTCCAAACTGTTCCAACCACTGCCTGTTACCCAGTTCCAAAGTCACTTCCACATTTTCAGGTATCTTTTCAGCAGAGCCCCACTCTACTGGTACCAATTTACTGTATTAGTCCATTTTCAATGTGCTGATAAAGAGGTACCTAAGACTGGGATGAAAAATAGGTTTAATGGATTCACACTTCCACGTGCCAGGGGAGGCCTCATAATCATGGCCAAGGGCAAGGAGGAACAAGTCATGTCTTACATGTATGGCAGCAGGCAAAAAGAGAGAGCTTGTGCAGGTGAACTAAAGCCATGAGATCTCGTGAAACTTACTATCATGAGAACAGCATGAAAAAGCCATGCCCCTCATGATTCAATTACCTCCCACCATGTGCCTTCCACAACATGTGGGAATTCAAGATGAGATTTCGGTGGGGACACAGCCAAACCCTATCACTTACTTCTGTCATTTCAGCTGTCTCAGCCTCAGCCCAGTTCTGAACTCTTGCTAGGGAGGTGTGGTCATTTGGAGGGAAGGCGGCACTATGACTTTTTGAGTTTTCAGTGGTTTTGCACTAATCCTATCTCATCTTTGTGGGCTTATCTGCCTTCCATCTTTGATGTTGCTGATCTTTGGATGGGGTTTTTTGTTTGCTTGTTTGCTTGTTTTTGTGTTGTTTGTTTGGCTTTTAACAGTCTGTCCACTCTTCCATAGGGCTGCTGCCGTTTGCTGGCCATCTGCTCTAGACCTTAGTCACCGCAGCTTTTCCAGTACTTGGAGGTATCACTGGTGAAGGCTGTCAAACAGCCAAGATGGCCGCCTGCCCCATCCTCTGGGAGCTCCATCCCAGGGGGTTACTGACTGGTTGCCAGCCCAAACGTACCTGTAGGAGGTGGCTGGGGACCCCAGTTGGGGTTGGGAGTTCTCCCTAGTCAGGAGAAATGAGATCAGGGACCAGCTTAAAGAAGCAGCCTGGCTGAGTTCTAGTAGAGCAGCTGTGCTATGTTGGGGGATCCCTTCAGCCCTGATCAGCTTGGACTCTCCAAGGCCTGCAGGCTGGACCAGCTGAGATGCCCAAACAGCAAATGTGGCAGCCCACCCCGACCCCCAAGCACTCTAGGGAGAAATTAGAACTCTGTAGGAGGTGTAACTCAAGCAGGGGTGGCTGGGAGGACCCACCCAGGGAGGAAGAATGGAATAGGGTCCCATTTAAAGCAGTCTGGCCACACCTCAATAAAGCAGCCAAGCCATGATGGGGAACTGCCTCCACCTGCATCATCTTGGACTCTAAAGCCCACAGGCTGGAATGACCAATTCACCCAAACAGCAAAGGTGGCAGACCTCCCCTCCCTGCCAGGCACTCCATCCCAGGGAGAAATAAGAACTCTGTCAGCCTAGAGTACCAGCGACGGTGGCTGTAGGCTCCAGTTGGGAGATCCCGGCCAGTGAGGAGGAATGAATCAGGGTCCTGCTTAATGTCCCAGGGAGAAATAAGAACTCTGTCCATAGAATACGGGCAAGGGTGGCTGGAGGCCCCAGCTGGGAGGTCCTGCCCAGTGAGGAGGAATGGATTGGGGTCCCACTTAAAGAAGCAGTCTAGCCGCATTTTGGTAAAGCAGCTGCACTTTGCTGGGGGCAGGGGTCGGGGGAAGGTCCCTTCCTCATCCAGGCCATTTGGGCTCTCCAAAGCCTGCAGCCTGTTTGGCTGAATCCTTCAAATAGTAAAGGTGGCAGCCCACCCCTCCCCCACCAAGGAGTTGGGTCCAGTCTCAGGTAAGCCACAGGCTGAGGCTGCTCAGACCCCTGCATTCAGCCCCCTTCCAAGGGGTATTATGGACCTCCGGGCTTGCCTGAGTTGCAGTCGCCTTTTCCGGGGATCCTTGGACTGGAGCATGTAAAGGTCCTGGGTCTCTGTGCTTGCTGAGCCGCTGCTCTGCTGAGACTCCACATAGCTCTGTATGTTGGACCCAAGGCCCTGGTGGAGTGGGTTCAGGAGGGGATCTCCTGATCCGAGGGTTGCAAGGATCCATGGGAGAAGCTTGGTTTCCCCGGGGGAGTTGCACATTCATTCACTGCTTCCCTTGGCTGGGGAGGGGGGTTCCCTTGCGTCCACATTACTCCTGGGAAGCCCATCACCCTGCCCTGCTTTTCTCCATACTCCATGGGTCAAGTTGTTTTCCTGATCAATCTCAGTGTGAGTATCTGGGCATTTCAGTTGAAGGTGCTGTGTTTACTCAGCCCTTTCATCCCTCTCTGTATATGCCATGCACTGTAGCTGCTTCTTCACACAATTTTCTATTGTTTTTGCTAATTTCTTAATAGCAATGTTAGAAGCAAGTGGAATATCATCAATATAGTGAGAGAAAATATTTGATGACATATAATTATATAACCAGTGATAGTATATTTAGTAACAAGGCAAAATAAAAATATTTTAGGTAAATAAAAACTGAGAGACTTACTATTAACAGACTGACAAAATGAACTTCTAAATAATGTACGTTAGGCAGAAGAAAATTTATCCAAAGAAGGTTTGCAAGCAAGAAGACATGATGAAATAAGAAAATAGAGAACAGATTGCTGGCAAGATGGTAAAATAGGAACAGCTCCGGTCTGCAGCTCCCAGCGAGATTGACGCAGAAGACGGTGATTTCTGCATTTCCAACTGAGGTACCTGGTTCATCTCATTGGGCTAGACAGTGGGTACAGCTCATGGAGGGTGAGCCGAAGCAGGGTGGGGTGTCACCTTACCTGGGAAGCATAAGGGATTGGGGAATTCTCTCCCCTACCCAATGGAAGCCATGAGGGACTGAGCCTGAGGAACCGTGGATGCCGGCCCAGATACTGTGCTTTTCCCACGGTCTTCACAACCTGCAGACCAGGAGATTCCCTCCAGTGCCTATGCCACCAGGGCCTTGGGTTTCAAACAAAAAACTGGGCAGCCATTCGGGTAGACACCGAACTAGCTGCAGGAGTGTTTTTTTTTTTTTTTTTTTTTTTCCCCATACTACAGTGGTGCCTGGAATGCCAGTGAGACAGAAGTGTTCCCTCCCCAGGAAAGGGGTGGGGCTGAAGCCAGGGAGCCAAGTGGTCTGGCTCAGTGGTTCTCACCTCCATGGAGCCCAGCAAGCTAAGATCCACTGGCTTGAAATTCTCGCTGCCAGCACAGAAGCAGTCTGAGATGGACCTGGGATGCTCGAGCTTGGTGGCGGTGTGGAGCGGGGTGGGCATTTGCCATTGCTGAGGCTTGAGTAGGTGGTTTTACTCTCACAGTGTTAACAGCCACTGGGAAGTTCGAACGGGACGGAGCCCACGCAGCTCAGTAAGGCTGCTGTGGCCAGACTACCTTTCTAGATTTCTCCTCTCTGGTCAGGGCATCTCTGAAAAAAAGGCAGCAGCCTCATTCAGGGACTTATAGATAAAACACCCATCTGCCTGGGACAGAGCACCTGGGGGAAGGAGCGGCTGTGGGTGCAGCTTCAGCAGACTTAAACCTCCCTGCCTGACAGCTCTGAAGAGGGCAGTGGACCTCCCAGCATAGTGTCAGACTGCCTCCTCAAGTGGGTCTCTGACCCCCATGTATCCTGACTAGGAGACACCTCCCAGGAGAGGCTGATAGACACCTCGTACAGGAGATCTCTGGCGGGCATCTGGCAGGTGCCCCTCTGGGACGAAGCTCCCAGAGGAAAGAACAGGCAGCAATTTTTGCTGTTCTCAGCTTCTGCTGGTGATACCCAGGGAAACAGGGTCTGGAGTGGACCTCCAGCAAACTCCAGCAGACGTGCAGCAGAGGGGCCTGACTATTAGAAGAAAAACTAACAAACAGAAAGAAATAGCACATCCACTCAGAGACCCCAACCAAAAGTCACCAACATCAAAGACCAAAGGTAGATAAATGCACAAAGATGTGGAGAAACCAGTGCAAAAAGGCTGAAAATTCCAAAAACCAGAATGCCTCTTCTCCTCCAAAGGATCACAACTTCTCTCCAGCAAGGGAACAAAACTGGACGGAGAATGAGTTTGACGCACTGACAGAAGTAGGCTTCAGAAAGTGGGTAATAACAAATTCCTCTGAGCTAAAGGAGCATGTTCTAACCCAATGCAAGGAAGCTAAGAACCTTGAAAAAAGGCTAGATGACTTGCTAACTAGAATAACCAGTTTAGAGAGGAACATAAATGACCTGATGGAGCTGAAAAACCAGCATGAGAACTTCGTCAAGCATACACAAGTATCCATAGCTGGATTGATCAAATGAAAGAAAGGATATCAGAGATTGAAGATCAACTTAATAAAATAAAGCGTGAAGACAAGATTAGAGAAAAAACAATGAAAAGGAATAAACAAAGCCTCCAAGAAATATGGGATTATGTGAAGAGACTAAATCTATGTTTGATTGGTGTACCTGAAAGTGATGGGGAGAATGGAACTAAGTTGGAAAACAACCTTCAGGATATTATCCAGGAGAACTTCCCCAACCTAGCAAGACAGAATAACATTCAAATTCAGGAAATACAGACAACACCACAAAGATACTCCTCAAGAAGAGCAGCCACAAGACACATCATCAGATTCACCAAGGTTGAAATGAAGGAAAAACTGTTAAGGGCAGCCAGAGAGAAAGTTTGAGCTACCCTCAAAGGGAAACTCATCAGACTAACAGCAGATCTCTCGGCAGAATCTCTACAAGCCAGAAGAGAGTGGGGGCCAATATTCAACATTTCTAAAGAAAAGAATTTTCAACTCAGAATTTCATATCCAGCCAAACTAAGCTTCATAAGCGAAGGAGAAATAAAATCCTTTACAGAAAAGCAAATGAGGAGAGATTTTGTCACCACCAGGCCTGCCTTACAAGAGCTACTGAAAGAAGCACCGCATGTTCTCACTCATAATTGGGAACTGAATCGTGAGTACACATGGACACAGGGATGGGAACATCACACACTAGGGCCTGTCAGGGGGTGGGGGGGTAGGGGAGAGATAGCATTAGGAGAAATACCTAATGTAGGTGATGGGTTGATGGGTGCAGCAAACCACCATGGTGCGTGTATGCCTGTGTAACAAAACTGCATGTTCTGTACATATACCCCAGAACTTAAAGTATAATAAAAAAAAGAAAGAAAATAGAAAACAAATGGGTAAATCTAAAGCCAAAATGTCACATAAAACAATAAATTCAATATCTATATTTAGGAATAAATTGAAAAACTCCTAAATAACAGCATACAATTTGAGAGACATTAGAATTAAAGCAATCTTAGTTCCCTGTGTTATTCAGGAAGCAGTTAAAAAAACTGGTAAATTGTATATTTTGTTAAGTATAGTGCATGTGAATCCAAATTTGTAAGCCTAAAGAATCTTCGGATCATTAGAAAATATAATAAATTTTAGAAATATTTCTGGATATAATATAAACACATAAGAAAAATAAGAAATATTTCTGGATATGACATGAATATCCAAAATTTAAGTTGCTATACAATACATATAAACAGAATAATGACATTGATAATTTTTAAAAAGTTGTAAGGTATTAAAGTAACATAAATATAGGACACCTAGGCCTAAAAGATGTGAAAGGTATGTAGAAATATATTAAACTTTATTGACAGTAATTAAAGAAGAGCTAAGTAAATAGAGATATAGGCCATGAACAAGACAAATAACTCGATATCATAAAGACGTTAATTCTTTCCCAAATAATATATCAATTCTATTTTTATGTGGGAAAACAAGACCAAGGTAAGCTAAGATGGTACCAAAGAGAAAAATGAACCAAGACATGTTGTGTGACCAGTGCCAAGATTCAATTAAAAAGATATGAAAATTAAGTTGGTGTTATATTGGCTTATAGAAAGAAAAACAGAGACCAGAAAACTTGGAATCTGATCTTCACATCTATAAAACTGCTCTATATGAGATGGTTTTGCACATTTATAGGTGAAAGAATAGACTAAATACATTGCACTGATAAAACTGGTTATCCATGAAGGGGGAAAAATGAAACCTAAATATCTTCACATACCATGTGTAAAATCTGTTCCTGCTGAATTAACCTGGAGGAGAAACAATATCATTTTAAAAAGATAACATAGGAGAAGATTTTTATGACCTTGGAATAGAAAAGAATTTCTTACATAAGACATAAAAATCATGGTCTATTAAAAGAAAACTTAAATATTCTACCACATTTAAATAATAACCTCTATTCACCAAACATCACAAAAGAGAGTGAAAAGATAGAACCACAAATCAGTGGATGATTTTTTAAAAATATATAAATGGCAAATAGTATCCAGAACATATAAAGAACTCTTACAAATAAATGCAAAAACAGTAGAAAAACAGGCATAGTTATGCAAGCATTTCCAAAAAATGGAAGTAGCAACACCCAATAAATTTATGAAAATATAACAAATTTCATTAGTAATAATAAAAATGTTAATTAAAACAATAATAACATTTTATTTCATACTTGATTAGTTGGCAAAACGTGGAGAACTAAGGACAGTAATAACATACTAGGTAATTTAGTATATCTGCCTAGAAGAACAATTTATCTCAAACAGTTGAACATTCTCATTCTTTATGACCTAGCACCAGGAAGCAAGCACAAGAATGCTCATGTTGTTCATAAAAGCAAAAAAAGAAAAAAAAAAAGAGAAACTATCCAAATGTTTATATACAACAAAGTGGCTTTTTAAAATTCTGATATTTTCATTAGTGAAAATGAATAAGCTATGCTACATGCATCAATATGAATAAACCTTAAAACTTAAAATATGCATAGTATGAGTCTCTTCTTTTTAAAGTTTAGAAAGAAATAAACTAAACAAATTAATCATTAAGAGATACATATATGCAATAAGAGAAAAGCAAGGTGAGAATTAAAATCAATTCAGGTCAATATATCTGAGGAGAATAATGGGGGATATGATTAGACAAAGATGCATGGGGGGCATTCAGACTTGTTTTCTAATCTGTGTACTTTATGAATATTTTATGAATATTATTTTTAAACTATACATTAATGGTATGAACTCTCTCTATATATAATTCTTCACATTAATAAAAATAGTGAAAGCTACTGTTTAGCTAATGGGATTAATATATTTTTATTGTTTGATAATTGCCTTTGATTATGTAATTTTTTATATGAAATGCTAGAGGAATTTATTCATTTGAAGACTTTTTTTCAAATAAGAAATAGTAACTAACATTTATTACACATATACACAAAAATAGCTTTAATAGTATATGTCTTCACCAAAAATAAATGCTGAGAATTAATTTTTTAATGAAATCTAATATTTGATACCTCTTTCAAAAAGTACCTCACTTAGAACATTTGTCAACATAGTATAAGAATTCATGCTGATTAAACAGAATAGCTAGCAGAACAAGCACAAAACTAGTCTCTAACGTGTATCAGGAATTAATGTTGTTTAGCCCCCTCCTTTCTAAATGTGTCTACTTTTTCCCCCATTCTTCATCACCAGTAATCACTACTACACATACACTTTATTTTCCCTATCAGTAACTAGTCGGTATTTGCTTGGATGCTTCTTTTCGTATATCCACAGCAATGTTGACCCTGGTAGAGAAAGCTGTGTCTTAAAGAATGCAGAGCTCAACATAGGTAATGAGAAAAGCACCTATCTAAATGTGTCTGAAAGAGCTTCATAATGAGAGTCAAACAAATCTGAACAGCCAAGTCCGAACAATCAAGGAAATTGAGTAGAGGTTAGCTTAGAAGCACGTGGCACAATCCCCTCCTCTATACACCCATCCCGGTGTCAGTAAAGGAGTCTAGTCAGAACTGATGCCATGATGTAAAGTCCTCCTGGTATTTCTTAAAACTGTCCAGCTCCTGGCAGGGATTCCACATCTCTTTAGAACCAGCTATCTAGCTGATAAAAGTCAGTCATTTAATTGATTTTTTTGATTGAGCACTTATTTGCAAAACAATATAGAAAATAAATGAGAATAAACACTAGCATGTCCTCGGTAAGGCCTACCATCTAGCAGAAGAGACAGGCAAGTATGTAACTACTACATTAAAGGCTGACTGGACTAAGCATTGCTTTTTAAGGTGTTAGCTAAGGAATGGTAATGTGAATTTTGATTTGGGGACCTGATAGGTTGAATAGATCCCATCACAGGTAAATGTGTGAGTTCGTGTGTGTGGGCGTGGTGGGGGCAGGGAGGGAGAGAGAGAGAGAGAGAGAGTGGTGTTGAAAAGCAGAAAGAATTCCATGCAGAGTAAAATCAGGGAGGTGCGGAAACCCATATAATGTTCTGTGCACAGTAAATAGAACAGGCCGAAGCCAGGCTTATAGAGTCAGGATGTGGTGGAAGATGGAGCAAGAAGCTAAGCTTGTCCATAAAAGTCCAGTTCCAGGGTAAACAAAAAGGCCCTGTAAGTATGTTACACATGCCAATAAGTGAAATCCTTTCAATCTGCTTTACTCAGACCCTACTCTTGCCTAAAGATGACACTTTTCAGAAATTATACAACCTACACTGTCAGGACTGATTCAGGCTTAACTCTGAGAAATAGGTTCCATTACAGCTATATAACTGTTTGTCCTTCACAGACCAAAGGAAACCTTGAAACAAGGAACTTTCCACTTTTCCACAAAGTATTATATCTATCCTTCTATTGAATTGTGTCATGACTACAACACATGTCATTAAAATCAACCTTCTAACAGGCACCAAATACAAATAAGACTTTTCACCTTCTGATGCTAATGTGATAATTATTTTATTCTTCATGTCCATAATAGTTAATTTTACAGTTCTTTATTTCTGAAGTCACACTAGCAGATTTGGTTATAACTGTCCAACTTTAAATGTTATAATTACCCTCTTATATTTATTTATTAAATTATTATTTTATACTCTTTTTTGTCATTTTCTGTATGACTTGGGTTTTTGTTTTCCTGCTGACCTGTGAAGTTGGAGTAATCTTAAAAGATTCAGGTATACTCCTCTCATATTTAAAACAATGTCATAGAAAAAGACATTATTTATTTATTTATTTGTAAATGTGGAGTATCCTGGAGCAGAAATAGTTGACAAATAAATGACCAACTTAAAAGATTAGGTTTTGCAGCATCTTGCAATTTTTCACTTTATGGCCTCCAAACCATTACCTTGAAATTCAGTTGTTCCCTCTATGCCTTACTGATTGCTGAAGTCTCTAAGTGGCCTTAATGTCAAATCTAAGGTGCTAAATTTTATAACAAGATCAATTTCCACAACATTTTTACTGCCAAATACATTTTTAAAGGATGCATTAAATTTGAGTCTGTCAAAAGCATGAAGGCTAACAGGTTCTTTCAGAAGAAAACAAGTAGTGCACTTGTGTGAATATTTATCTGACAGTAGCTTACAATACTAGATTATTACAAATGGCAGACACCTAGCACTACCAGTGAGGTGACACAGAAGAATTTATCATCAGAAGTAGGTAGCTTTATAGAATATTGGTATTAGTGTACCTACATTCTTCTAAAAAAATATGAGGATCCAAGCTCATTTATCATTTAGCAAGACACTCATCTGCCTGGTGCCTTCATCACCTAGACTTCTGAGGCTCTGCTGAAAATGAGATTGTTTTCTCCTTTAATGGCATTCAGTTGTTGCAGTGAGCAATTTGGCAATGTGCTGCATCACTTATGTATCTTTAAATTAAAAGGACGGGAGGAGCTTGAAATCAAAAATAAGTATATGCAAACTGCCATCTCTGGGAATTGATAGAGTAAATTTGACATGGTTTTATGTAATGTTTCATCCCACCTCTGTGTCATGCAGCCCCTATGAGAAAAGGAAATAAGTGGCCTTGGGTAATTTAACCAACTTAAAATTCCAGGGACTTCTTTTTGCCATCATTGCCGAAATATGTTCCTTGTAAATTTGATTCTGATATCTGTCATGAGACCCAAATACAATAGGTGGTATACATTAGACTGGGAGTTGGCAAACTATGACCCATGGGCTAAATCCAGCCTTGCCACCTGTTTTCATAAATAAAGTTTTACTGGAATATAATCACTCTATTCATTTGCATATTGTGTATAGCCACTTTTGTGCCACAATGTCAGAGTTGAGTAGTCATGATAGAGACTACATTGCCCACAGAGCTTAAAATATTTACTATCTGGCCTTTTATTTATAGGCAAAGATTGTTGACCCCTGCATTGGACCTCCAGTCTCACATACGCTCTAAATTTTCTTGTTCGGATCTGGCTAAAAGACCCAAAGGAACAGAAAGAAAATTAGGAAGCCAGAGGACATAGAAATGCCTAGAAAATACATTAGAAAAAAGATAATTACACACTTCCTATAGAGTGTCTTTTAAATGCTTTACTGGGAGCAGAAATAGAAAATTCAGTGGAGGATTTATGGAAAAGGAAGATGATGTTTCTTAGTAATCAGAAAGTTTTTTTTTTGTTTTTGTTTTTGTTTTTGTTTTTCCCTCTCCCTTTCCCACATTGCTTCCCTCCTTTAACTCTAAGTTTATATTCTCAGGGGATTACAGCACACACAAACCTACACTGCTCCCCTGAGGAGCTGCAGAGGCTCTGCAAACAAAGAAGTAATTTCTGACAAATAATAAAGATACAAACTACTTTTAAAAAAACTATTATGCAACCGGAGCAAGGGCTAAAATTGCCTTTGACAGATGGGCACCTCTAAAAAAATGGTGTAAAAAACCACTGTGTTTCAGTGATATTATATTTAAAACATCTCTTTAGAAAATGGTTCAAGCATTTGGCTAAAAAATCTGTAGTCATTACATGATTATCTTACATTATTTTATTTGTAGTGAAAATATAGATATTATTTTTCTTTTCTAAATCTTTTTTAAAAATCTTGTGAAGATTGTTTTTTCATAAAAATTATCTAAAATGTTTAATAGTTGAAGATTTTATCATTATGTGGATGAATTAAAAATGATTTATAGTAAAAAGAAATATGATAAAATTAATATTGAATAGCTTTCCATTTTTAGATTATCTAAAATGTCTTATGTAATGAGAAAAATTTTGGAATTATTTCCAGAGCTTGGTCCAATTAATTTACTACATGTTCCATAGTGTTTCCCATAGTTCCCTCTTTTCTATTCCATTCTTATTTAGGTCATTACATAACTTCCAATGAGGCTTCCTCTCTGCTTGTCTACCTGCTCCAGTTCCTGCTGCCCTGCATAGACACATTAATCTCCATGAAGTACAGCTTTTCTCAGATATCTCAGAAACATTGAACAACCCTCCACTAATAACCAACTTAATTATTAAGTTTTCTTCTAGGCAATTCTTTTTCACAATTCATTGTACTACTTTTCCCCTAACTTATTTTTCAAGCTTTTTCTCCCAACAAGACTTTGTTTTTATATGTTCACTTATAGTCCAGGTAGATTGACCAAGTGGTTCCTTGAAGTATTTTACTTATTTCTTTTCCTTTGGTATTATCTGTAGCTGACTGTCTAAATGACACTTTTGTTGGTTCCCCAGGGATAGCAGAGCAGCATGAACTAGAGCTAGACCGCTGGTTTTGAACTTGCTGTTCTGCTGCTGGTTGCCCAGATGATATTGGTTGAATTATTCAATTTCTCTGGACGTAAGCTTTCATATCCAGCACAGGAATAATACTTACACAGATGCCAAGAAAATAACTTGAGTCTATATGTATACAGCACTTAGACAAGCACCTGCCATGTGTTAAACACTACATTGTTATAGCTTAGAGGCTATGAGCGCCACTTTTCGAATCAAACCTATGACCACTGGCTCTGCCACTTACTGGCTAGGCAACTTTGAGCATAATACTTAACCTCTTCAAATCTGTTTGTAAAATGGGCATAATACCAATAAAAATATGGTTGCTGTAAAATTAAGTGCTGAAGGTAAAGAATTTTGCCTAGTTTGTAGATCATAATAACTCCTCAATTATATTAGTTGCTTCTATTATAATTTTCATTATTCCCATTGTTTTGTGTTGCTACTATTAATATTCTAGACTTCTAAAGAACTTGACTATACATCTAATTGCCCTAGTCTTTTCTATCCTGACTACTATAAAGTTGAAGATTATTGGTTGCTGCCCTTCTGCCAAATTCCTATGTACTTACTACATCAAATAGAAAGCAGTATATACCTACTTAGTTCTTCAGGCTTCCTGAGTAGAAGCAAGGCTAATAAAAAACCTTACAGATATATTTAGTTTAATGGGATTTCCAGCTGGTACTACTTCACACCCACTTTATGAAGTAAGTCAAGAAAATATCAGCATATATCTAACAATGAAGTCTGGAGTTCACTCTCACAAATTATATTCTGCCCTGTATCTGTAAGCTTTGTTTTTGTCCAGCTATCTTACCTGTTTCCTTTTTAAAGCCATGGACTCTGCCTTTTACATCTTTACATGCTGTTAGCTTTGAAGACAGACCTGTCTGGCTCTGTTTTCAGGCCTATGTCTGATATATCTATCTAATTATTAGACCCTAAAACTCCTTAATTAAAGAAACAAGAATTAAGCCTCTTAACTTTTATTATTGTGATATTAAAAACTAAAGCCCTAACATTTTTATCCTTCATTGCCTCTGCCTGTGGAAATTAGCATAACAGAGAATGGAGAGTCCATAAACATTAAAGTAAATTTAGTCAAATAGCTCAGTATCCTTTAACATACTAACATCTTAAAGTTGCTGCTAACTGTATGTACTATATAAATTTAGGACTTTTGTCTCTTGTTCATCCATTTTAAATTATTTTTGTCAAAATCTTATTTGAAAATGAAAAACATTAGTCAATAATAAGTTCATCTTTATCTTCTCATAATATTTATCTCATAACATTATATATCTTTATCTTCTCATAGTATTATATATTTATATATGTGAAAATTTGAAATGTTAGCCTTTAGGTAACAGGAAGAGATTGATGTTTTTAAACAAATAAGTGATAAGATAAATTTAGCATTGTAGGAAAATAAATCTGATTTAATATTTGAGACAAAGCAAAGAAAGAATCAAAATATAATTTTTAGATTTTTTGAGGCTCAACTAAGTTGAAGTAGGCAAATCAGGAGGAATTCTAAATTGGGATTGTTTGATGAAATCAGGTTCAGATGCATAGCATAAGAAGAGAGGTACTCCGAATGGAAAAGTACACACAAAATTGAAGACTCTCGAACAGATAAGACAATAGAGACAGTCAAGATTTAAGATAGTTTTGGAGATGAAAGCTGAAATTGTGGTGTTATAATAGCCCTGTAAAAACTTATAATAGAAAAAAATACAAAATATAGCTGGAGGAAAATTGTTAATTTGGGAGCAAATTTTAATGGAGGAGATTGCATTCTGGAAGGGAGAGGATTTGGTAGATTTATTTTAGGGGTAATATCTGCTGCCTAAGTGACATATGAAACAATCATATTCTGTTGTCTGGATCTTAAGTGTATATTTTATGTAAAAGAAAATCTCAAACAAAATCTAGATAGGAAATGAAATATATTTGTGCTTCATTATATTTACAGATCTCTGTGTGTAATTCTGTTCTGTACCAGATATTTTGCTTAAAACATTTTAATTTATTTGGAATATAAAACAGACACATTTTTTAAAGATCTGGTTTCAAATATATAAGGGATCAGTTCCTGCTTAATGAGTAAGGAGCTACTTTTTAACCAACTAAATCCCCAGAAATATCTCCTAAAATCTTTTCCTGCCTCCCAGTGTGTTTTCTGTCTTACAGTAAACTATACTCCTGTCTTCACAACTATAACTTCTTACTTTTGGGTGAAGTCTTAGAAAGAAGTGACAGAATATATGCAGGAAAGAATATTCTTACATGATTTCTATCAATCCTGTTTCCAAAAAGAAACTACTCTGATAAATAAAGGAAAACTAGGGTCCTTCATTTTGTTTATGCTGCTGACAAACATTTGCTTCCTTAGGAGTGTCATTAACTAAAAAATAAAAGGTAGAGGATGTGGCAGGGATTGTGTGCAGCTTCTAGATGGCCATTAAGTTTCAGAGGAGGAAAGATAAGAGGAGAAATTTGGGCCACAGAAACCTCGTGGGTATATGTACTTGACATAAGGGCTCAAACATTCTCATATATCATGCTCTCAGCTTACTCCCTGTAATTTTAGAAAATCCTGAACCTCAGATCCACATGGGTGCCAGATGACTGACCTGGAAGGCCCATGTTTAAGTGCATTTGTGCCTTTTCTTCTCTCCTTGCAATATCCATTGGAAAAAGAGTTGTAGGGAAAGTCAGCAAATCTATGATTGGCATTGCCAGTGGTGTGACTTTAGTCAGTTACTCTCCTAACCTTAATTTCTCCAACATTAAATTAAAATAATGAACTTGAAAAGACCTTTTTTTAATATTCAAAATGCATGATAGTCTTTTGCATTCAGGAGATTCTATATAAATTCTAGAGAGAGGTAGTGAGGTCCATTAGATTATGTTCAACTCTCTTTACAGATGTGGGACACACTGAAAGACCAAGGAAGAGACAGTGAGAAAATTCAACATCTCGACAGGCAGAGTACAGGGATTTCTGAAGTCACAAATGGCATCAGCACTAACTGTGACCACAAGAGATTCTGGTGCAGTGCAACCACCTGGCTTAGACATCTGCTTCAAGGACTTCAATAAGGAATCCTCCTAATCTCTAACTTAGTTGACTTAATTTGTCTAGTTGGGAACACCTGTAATGCTGAATTTCTACAATTCACCATTATGGAAGTGTTACAATATTAATAGTCAGTATGGCTAAGGCACCAACAAATTGAATCGGAGGTCTGACAACAACGGGTGCTCTGTACCGGTGCAGAACAGCAAAATATATTGGCTGGGGCACCAGTTACTATTTTGGTTGGTTATTTATTATTCTGCAAAGGCATATATTGTAGCTATATTATTTAATCCAAAAATATTGCAGTATAAATGGCCTCCAGAAATTACAACATGGGCTAAATTACAACAAAGGGCATCAGCTTTTATTTTCAAATAGTTTACAACATCCAGTACTACTGCACAAGAGGAAGAAAGTGAGAACATTAGAAGCAAAATATCTCTTGTTCTCTTTGATACACAATCTCTGTGATTCTTAACATGTGAGGTGTTCTCCCCCTATACCAAGAGTAGAAAAAAGTAGGAAAGGTTTCAGGCTTATTTGTAGATGTTGAGAAGAAGAAAGAAAAGATCACTTGAAATAACAAATTACTCATCCCCCAGCAACCTGAACCTTCTATCTGGCACTCACACCAGTTGTATCCGTACCTCTCCAACTCTGTTAGTATCCATGATAGTGTAAAATAAAAACTCACTTCATACGGGTGTTTATAAGTCAGAGGTACTGTTGAAGAATGAATGTGAATATGTGAAGAAAGATGAAAAAATAAAAAGCCCATCAGGATATTCTCCATTTGGTTTCTAAGCAATGCAGCCTATTCTCTATTTGGTTTCTAAGAAATATGAGGCAGAAGGAATAAACGAGGGTCCTTTCTGTGTCCTTCCTCTACCAAATTGATCAACAACATGGTTTCATATAAAGGAAAAGTGTGATTTTCCATCGTCAACAATGAAGAGAAATAGTCTTAACTCAAATCTTGAGATTATTACAAGTTATTGCAAAGAACATCTACAGCATCCCTAGTAAAAGCCTTTGGATCATAAGATATTATAGAAAATAATCACAAAGATCTGTTTCTGATAGAAGGATTTAGCAGCCTCTATTTTCCACTAAATAGGGAATCCATAACAGAAAAGGCCCAAAATGTGGAAAAGATCTCAATCCTCATTAACCATTCCTGTAAGGCTTTCTGCAAAGTCAGTGACAATCTTACTAAGCAGGCAATTTGTATTTACATTTTCCTTGCCAGAAAATTATAAGGGTGGTGCTGTCAAAACACAGCAATTAATGTTTTTCAACCAACAAAATCCAAAGTGAATTTTAGGATTCTTAGATATGATTTGTAACCCAATATAGGGTGTTAATTTTTCAGTGGGAGTATAATTGTCAAAACTATAATGAACTCAGAAGGAAAAACATGATTTAAAATTATTAATTTGTACCCAGCATAGCTTTTTAGGAATATACCCATAGAAATAAATCAAGGCTCAAATCACTTTCATTTTTAATCCTTAGGCCATGTGTATGATCAAAAGATAGAAAATAATATAGCCTAAAATATACAAATAATGTTTCAAAAAAAAGATAGAACTCCCTGAGGCTGAGATGGCAGTTTGTCATTTTTGCCACTGCTGTCCTCCCCGTGTCTACAGCACAAATTGCATAAAGATCACGGCATTTTTTACTCCAACAGAGCCTAGAGGAAACTTTAAAATACTTTATGATATAATACTTTACAGCAGCTAGAAGCCATCTCAAAATGGCACAGGGAGAAACCTATTTTCATCCTTGTAAGTGTTACAAAAGACATTAGTCATCATGTTAATTATAAAGTACAGGTTTGGATATAATTCTGAGTATTGTAGCCAATAGAAGAATCTGCATCTTTTCTAAAATGACTTAAAATTTAAATAACACTAGAAGAAGGATGGCTTATTCAAACTTCAACTGCAGAGAAGAATATACACAATTTTAAAAGGTGACATCTTACATAACTATGGGAAATAAATGTAATATTTTAACAGTATTTACATACCGCTACCTTTTTCCATTCTATGAATAGTTGAACCATAATAGTATTATGTCCGTCCTATAGTTTCACAATACATTTCATTAACCTTGCATGTTTTAGTTATTTTAAATATTAGTTACATTTCAAGAAACAAAACTCTGCAATGCATCCTGGTAAATTAGTCTCTAAAAAATGGGGACTAGAGCATGAAACTCAAACAAGAATGTTTAATGGAATACAAATATCCAGTCTAAAAACTCTAACAAAATCTGCTTTCTTTGGGTAAAGGCTCTTGGCTATTACACAAAAAGCCACACGTGGCTCCCCTCAAAATGCCTTACAGATCAGGCTCATAATCTTTCCTTGCACAAAAATGGCACAAGAATTGATTTCAATTATCATTTAATACCTATTTCCCTCTCCTGTCAAAAAATGTTCCATACACATGAAACTGAGGGTTGGCAGCCTGAACTCATTTATGGAACTTTTAAGGACTATTGATTTACCAGTGAATTTTCTAGTTCTCTCATTGTTACTGGAAGGATGCCTCAGAGTCTGAATTAGATGATAGGATAGGCTGGAATGCCGATAGGCTTACTTAAGGCTGATGAAAAGAGAAACTTCTCAAAAATTTGTCAAAATGCTTTTTATACATTAGGTTAGCATGATTGATTATGGAGTCAAAATTTCTCATGTCGTGCTGAACTGAATTTTAATTATATCTCTTCTTGCTTTGTTGTGTCCCGATACACCTCCTTGATGTCTGGGTGTTAACCCTTAGAGAAAATATGAAGTAATTTAAAAATAAATTAAACGTATGTCTTTAGAAACTGGAAACTGTTTTGTCTACCTGAAGTGTCTTTGTTTTTCTTTTTTATCTGCTTTTTTAAAAAGCTACACCAACATATGAGTTACAAGAGAGTGCTTACATAAGCAGATTTTTATGTTGTCAGCGTGTCTCCACAGGGTGAAATGTTCTGACAGACACTTCCAGAAGCTGTGTGCCTTTACCTGCACATAACAGTAACCTTTGTTACTGTTACACTATGTAACCTTTGTTAAAAGGACCGCATTTCCACAAGGAAATTAACAACACTAACTTGGTTCTAGCTAAGCACAGAACAGACTTTTAGTACCAGCAAGAAACTAAGGTTACACAGTCAGTTTTTTCTTTAAACAATCTCTCCCTGCTCTGTCCCCCCATAGAGATGTGTATTTTCCTATAAATGTTGCCATTATTTTCCTCTTCAGGGTGGGATGCAAAGTTTGTGGGGCCTCAAAATTATATAATTTTGCATTCCTTCTTTAAGAAAAAGATTTAAAAAATTATGTATCCATAGTTGGCAGGAAAGTGAATATTTATTTTGAATGAGAAAAGCAATAACAAACAACTGTAAATTTTCTAAACCTGAAAACACTATTAACATCACAAAATCTAGAAAACAATATAGAATTTCTGTTTTATTAGTCAACAAATCCCTATGCTTTTTGGAGGTCTACGTTTTGATCATCTTCTAATATGACAATGATTTTGATAATATTTTCTATAGACAGGAAACAAAATTAAGGATTTTTCTGTAGCTGGTTGATAGAAAAAAAAAAGAGTTGTTATGGATAGTTTTAAAAAGCGCATTTCTGTTTCACAACTCATTGATGGTTATGTTATAGCCATTGGCATTGTTCTGATATTTGGGGAAACTTCCGTCAAGTCTCTTTCATAGCTGAGCTGAATGATATGAAAGAGTTTTCCACAGAGCATATTCTGGCCCAATACAATTCAAATCTTATTTCTCCTCCACTAACCACATCCTTCCCGTATCAGTGTTGTAGTTCACAATGGAATAGCAGTAAAACCTCTATCTGTGAATACTTGTGTCACAACACTATGTGAGATGGTAGGAGTATTCCTGGAAATATTTATACAACAGAACAGTAGCAATATCTAAATAATGCAAACAAAATATTCCTCTAAACCCAAACTAAATGAATTTCTAACTAACTATTCTTCACAGATAGTCATGCCCACTCTACCACCATTTGACACAAAGGGCAGTGTGACAGGTGAGGATGTCACCTGGGGATTGCAGATAAAATACCTTACTTTTGCAACAAAGAGAGATGACCATGTAAACACATTTATAATCCCCTCCCACAGCCATGGAGGGAGCTTCTTTAGCATCAAAGTCACTCCTTCACTGTCCACCCCTCCCCACTATGGCCTTCCTTCCTGTGCCTCTTCCTTTACCCATTCCTGTGTACAAACATAACTTTGAGTGAGGCCTGCTTGCTTTTTCTTACTCCTCCCAAATGCATTTGCCATCAAACCCTATTGTTTTTACCTTCAGCTTTACCTTTGGCCTGAATACCTCCAATACCATCCCTGTTGTCATAGCTAGGGCCACATCTCAGTCAGTCTCACTATTGTTAATTCCCTAAATCTTCTTCCTTCATCCTCTTCTTTAATCCACCCTAGACAACTGAGAATTATAAAATTCCCCAAAACCTCAGGTTGCCTTCTGCTGTGAAATCTTCAGGTGGCATTTTATTATAAGTGAAGTTACAACCTCAGCCTTGAGGGTATACGTAACTCTTCTCTACTTTTCTCTCCATTATTTCCCTGCTATCTTAAACTATATTTCACCAAATTGTTCTTCCAGATTCTTTAGACTTGCTTTGAAAGTTTCCTTTTCTTGTCTTTGCTTTTACCATCCCTTCTGCATGGAGTTTTCTCCCTCTTCTCTCTGCTTCTAAATGTTATAACTATTATCCTGGTCTCCTTGCAGTCGTTTTTCTTACCCTCTTAGAGGTTTTCTAAAACAGCCATATAGCCATCTGTGATAATTCCCTTTCCTGGAGCATGCATAGTTTCTATTTGGTACTTATTATATGCTGTGTTCTACTGTCATTATATATATGTTTATATATGTGTTCGTGTGCATATGTATAACCTTTTCCCCCAAATATCATAAGTAGGTTCAATTCAAAGCACTTTACTTAGAACTGAAAAGATAAAGCAAATTTAAGAAACACTGCCTTTAGGATGTATAAAATCTTGTAAGTGAGATAACAGCAAATGACTTCTAATAGAGGGTAGAGTAAGATAAGAGCCCTATATAGCAAATACATATATGTTAATTGTTGGACTAATGCTATCTCTCCCACTAGATGGCATCCTTTTTAGAGTAGAGATAGTTTCTCTTTAACTACAGTTTTTATATTTCCAGCACTTAGTTTCTGGAGGTATTGAGTTCTCTGTAGTTGGAGGTCTTCATGCAGGTATAAATACTGGGAGATGTCCTAAGTATTGCTGAGGGGACTAAAACACTGGCTAGTGGTCTAGATGGGAGTATGAAGTACAAATGATCTGTGTGAAACTGTGTGAGTTCTTTGTGAGATAAGTACTCTACAGGATACCTTATGGTTCTTTACCGAGAGGAAACACAATGTATCAGATAGAGAATTTGTAGAGACAGAAAAGTGGATGCAATTCTCAGTTTCAAGCTTCAGTTTCTTTACCTACTAAAATAGTAAAATCTAAAACTAGTTGATAGTATTATCCTGAGATTAAGTGAGTTAATACACAGTGACTGGAACCTAGGAGGTATTCAAAAGTGTTAGTTTTAATTTATTCTCTTTTAACATATTATCCACTGGTAGAGCTGATAATGCTTAATATTTTGTCCTATGGGAGTTTTTGTTGAAATATTATTTTTGATTTTCCAAATCTACTTCAATCATGAAGATGGATCTGTAAAATGTAAATTTACTCGTCTTAGCAGAAGGTCAATGAAAAAAAGCTTTAAAATATTTAAAGTCTGGGTTACGATGTGTAACAAACTAAAATTCAAAATTTTTTAAGACTCAGCTAACACTAATGATGGGTTTAAACAGCATTCTCAATTACAGTAAGCTGTTTCTTGTCAGGCCAGCTGCAAGGAGTGGATTTGATTACTTAAATACATTCCATGTGGTCAGAAATTTAATGCTGAGGCTCAGCAGGGGAGAAAGAAGTCTGAAGAGTGAATTGACTCATAGAGGGATTTATAATAAAAGGAAGCTTTACTAAGAAATTTTATCTGAAAGTTAAGAACTCCTTTGAGATTTTCACCATCAACTCAACATGGTGCTATTATTTTGTTATTGAAACACTTAAACTTTTGTTTTTCTTACCCCTTGCAGAGGAATCAATAGTCTAAAATTAGAGCAGAGAGTAGCAGCTCTTGAGTGCTAATCTGGGTTGGGCACTAAGGATTTCAAAGATTGCAGCCAGCAGCCTATCAGTCACGTATTAAACCTTACTCATTAAATTGTTTTTAGAAACAAAAATAATGAAAATATAATACAAGACAGGTTTTCATAAAATATGCTATTAACAGTTTTTCAAAAATATATCTATATACTTTTTACTATTATCAATAGTATGTTCTCCTAGATACGTTTTGGGATGTCTGCCAAGCTCATAATACATTTTCCTCTCTAAAAATTAGTGTCTCCCCATATTGTCCTTGGGGCTGGGTCCCCAATAACTATGTTTATATTGTGCAAACTTCTCCCCTCCTCTACCTTTGCCATTGGTGGCTGATGAGTGGTAGATCCCAGACCTAATTTCAGTTGACTTCTTCCCTATGGTTAGAGGTGACCGATTAGTGCTAGACACCTGACAACCCTGGCTGAATGCCATTTTCCCACCTGGGGATATGGCACAGAACTGAGAGGCTAGTATCTGTTGGTGACTAGAGCTGAACATAAAAACATGGCAGCCCTGGGTGGAGGTATTGTACTATATGTAAGTCACATTTTCAGAGAAGCCAAAAAAATATCCAGTATGTAGATAAAACGGAAAGGAAACACATATGCAGAGAAAACAGAGATGAGATAGGAAGAGAGATTCCTTATAGTTTTCTAATTCCTTTTTTTTTTTTTTTTTTTGAGACGAGTCTCTCTCTGTCACCCAGGCTGGAGTGCAGTGGCGCGATCTCGGTTCCCTGCAAGCTCCGCCTCCCGGGTTCAAGTGATTCTCCTGCCTCAGCCTCCCGAGTAGCTGGAACTACAGGCGCCCGCCACCATGCCCAGCTAACTTTTCGCATTTTTAGTAGAGATGGGGTTTCACCGTGTTAACCAGGATGGTCTCAATCTCCTGACTTCGTGATCCACCCACCCCGGCCTCCCAAAGTTCTGGGATTGCAGGCATGAGCCACCGGGCCCGGCTGGTACAGACCTTTCTTAAGCCCAGATAGCATTCCTGGCATTCCTATGGCAGGATTTTATGAACCTATATTCATATGACACTTCCCCCAGAGCCAGCTTTTTAAAAATTTTACTAAATGAAGTTCAAAGTGCTTCTGCTTTTTGCAATCAATAATGCCTAAGTAACTCACAAAAAATAGATTATTAATATCTATGACTTCAAAGGGTCCATAACTTATCACAAGCAAAAATTAAGGAATATTATATATGATAAAATTTTATGTAATAGTTACCTTTTATTAACAACAATATTCTAGGTATTTATGCATGCTTATAAGTGCTTATGAATATTTATTTTTAATCTTCAATAGAGTCTTGAGAGGCTGAAACGATTATTCCCATTATATAGAAGAGATCCAAACCTCAAAGTGTTTGTAAAATTACACAGGTAGTGTCACAGTTAGAATTCAGACCTTGAGGTGCTGCTGTCTGTTTTGAAGTGCCACATCCTGTCCACCCAGTGACACTCAGGAATCTCAAACTGAACCTTCAACTTCCCTCGTGATATATTCATTTCAACAAACAGTGTCTCAATTTAACCCAGTCGTTCAGTCTAATCACCTTTACTTCATAAACACATTCCTTTACTCCTCTCTCTTTCACACATCCACGTATTTTCCATCATCAAATCTTAACAGATGATTTTTGCAGTACACTTAGAATTGAACCTCCTCTCATCCCCTCCATCATCCTGTCATGGGGTGGGTGGGGGGGCAATGCAACCAGTTAACAGTCTCCTTGTTTCCACTTTTGTGCCTACCTCCACCCGCATGTTCTATTATCCATGATGTAGGCAGATTAAACCTTTCAAAACATAAATCTAATCATGCCACTTTCCTCCTCTGCACGCTCCAACAGCACCATGAATTGGCCTGTCCACTGCCCCAATGTTATTTGCTACCTCTCCCTCACACATTCTGCTCCAGCTTTAATGTCCTCCTTGCTGATCCCCAAATATTTCAAACAGGTTCCACTTCAGGGCATTTATGCTTGCAGTTTCCTCTACCAGGGATATTGTTTACAGAAGCAGCCAATTGGCCAAGACCCTCAATTCATTTAAGCATTTGCTCAAACGTCTCCACTTCAGAGAGACCTTCCCTAACTGCCCATTTTCTGGAAGTGGACTCTCCTCACCTCTCTCCGGAGCACTTATCTCTACCTCATTAATTTTTATTCATTTGTTTACATATGTTTATTTTCTGTCTCTTCCCACTAAAATATAAGCTTTATGAAAGCAGACATTTGGTTTGATTTGTTCACAGATATGTCTCCAGGACCTTCAGAACACACCTAAAATAAGATGGAGGCTCAGTGAGTGACTGATTGAATAAATAAAAGCAAGTGGGTACTTTAAAATCTAAATAATAATTTCAGATTACCTAATATTTAATATTTTACTATTTTCTGTTATCTTTTCTAAGGAACATACTCACCTCTTAAATTTTCCCATTTAGAATATAACCCTTTTCACCCACATTTCCATAAACTCTTTATGCTTTTGTTGATTACTCTTGACTCATATTCTACTGATGTATTCACTATAAATTGGAACACACGAGAGGCTACAATTGTTTTGCCAGTCTTCTCTTTCACAGTCCCAAACATGCTGAGTAAATTCTTCTATTAATAACAATGCTAACTACTATTACCTGAAAAGTTTTTCTCTCTTCTTAATTTTTAAAAACTGATCTGTTTAAGCCTCTATTTGGAGGACAAAAACACCATAGTGACAACGTACATAAAGATTGTTGAGCTACACAGTTCCCCAAAGATAAAAAGTGATCCTACCACCCTTGTTGTGGATTTTTAATTCATTTAAACAAGTCCTTATTTTTCACATACTATGTCTCTGGCAAGAAATGGCAGAACCAGGGCTAGTCCCTGAGTTTTTTTTGAACCTTGTGGGTTTGTTTGCAGAGTAGAATATGATTTCTGTTTCTGGTTTTGCAATTTTAAGATTGTCTAAGGTTTTAAATATTGATAGTTGATGTAGTGAAGATACTTAGATGAACACATTTCACCTGTTCAAGTAGAAGTGGATTTTTACACTTAGTAACATTATTCCTAAAAGGAATACATGCTAAAAATTAATATACTCTTAGGATTAGCTATAAACTATGTTTACTTTATTTTATAGTTAAATTTTGATTATTAACCAGTCCATATGTTTTGAGTGCCCAGTATGTGACAGTAACTATATTTGAAGAGTTTACATTTAAATGAGCAATAATTTACATAAGACATTGAAGAGGACAGCATGTTTATGGATAGTTGAATGAAACAAATACCTAGATCAGGAGATGGACATGCTGGAGAGGTTAAAGGCAAAATAAATCATTTTCATAGTACAATGATCTGGCTTGCATCAGTTAAATTTAATATTTACAGAAGACCATGGTGGATAAGCTTTTTGATGTGCTGCTGGATTCCATTTGCCAGTATTTTACTGAGGATTTTTGCATCGATGTTCATCAGGGATATTGGTCTAAAATTCTCTTTTTTTGTTGTGTCTCTGCCAGGCTTTGGTATCAGGATGATGCTGGCCTCATAAAATGAGTTAGGAAGGATTCCCTCTTTTTCTACTGACTGGAATAGTTTCAGAAGGAATGGTACCAGCTCCTCCTTGTACCTCTGGTAAAATTCGGCTGTGAATCTGTCTGGTCCTGGACTGTTTTTGGGATGCAAGACTGGTTCAACATAAGCAAATCAATAAACATAACCCAGCATATAAACAGAACCAACGACAAAAACCACATGATTATCTCAATAGTTGCAGAAAAGGCCTGTGACAAAATTCAACAACACTTTACGCTAAAAACTCTCAATAAATTAGGTATTGATGGGATATATCTCAAAATAATAAGACCTGTCTATGACAAAACCACAGCCAATATCATACTGAATGGGCAAAAACTGGAAGTATTCCCTTTGAAAACTGGCACAAGACAGGGATGCCCTCTCTCACCACTCCTATTCAACATAGTGTTGGAAGTTCTGGCCAGGGCAGTCAGGAAGGAGAAGGAAATAAAGGGTATTCAATCATGAAAAAAGGAAGTCAAATTGTCCCTGTTTGCAGATGACATGATTGTATATCTAGAAAACCCCATTGTCTCAGTCCAAAATCTCCTTAAGCTAATAAGCAACTTCAGCAAAGTCTCAAGATACAAAATCAATGTGCAAAAATCACAAGCATTCGTATACACCAATAACAGACAAACAGAGAGCCAAATCATGAGTGAACTCCCATTCACAATTGCTTCAAAGAGAATAAAATACCTAGGAATCCAACTTACAAGGGATGTGAAGGACCTCTTCAAGGAGAACTACAAACCACTGCTCAATGAAATAAAAGAGGATACAAACAAATGGAAGAACATTCCATGCTCATGGGTAGGAAGACTCAATATCATGAAAATGGCCATACTGTCCAAGGTAATTTATAGATTCAATGCCATCCCCATCAAGCTACCAATGACTTTATTCACAGAATTGGAAAAAACTACTTTAAAGTTCATATGGAACCAAAAAAGAGCCTGCATTGCCAAGTCAATCCTAAGCCAAAAGAACAAAGCTGGATGCATCATGCTACCTGACTTCAAACTATACTACAAGGCTACAGTAACCAAAACAGCATGGTACTGGTACCAAAACAGAGATACAGACCAATGGAACAGAACAGAGTCCTAAGAAATAATGCCACATATCTACAACTATCTGATCTTTGACAAACCTGAGAAAAACAAGCAATGGGGAAAGGATTCCCTATTTAATAAATGGTGCTGGGAAAACTCGCTAGCCATATGTAGAAAGCTGAAACTGGATCCCTTCCTTACACCTTATACAAAAATTAATTCGAGATGGATTAAAGACTTAAATGTTAGACCTAATACCATAAAAACCCTAGAAGAAAACCTAGGCATTACCATTCAGGACATAGGCATGGGCAAGGACTTCATGTCTAAAACACCAAAAGCAATGGCAACAAAAGCCAAAATTGACAAATGGGACCTAATTAAACTAAAGAGCTTCTGCACAGCAAAAGAAACTACCATCAGAGTGAACAGGCAACTGACAGAATGGGAGAAAATTTTCACAACCTACTCATCTGACTAAGGGCTAATATCCAGAATCTACAATGAACTCCAACAAATTTACAAGAAAAAAACAACCCCATCAACAAGTGGGCAAAGGATATGAACAGACACTTCTCAAAAGAAGACATTTATGCAGCCAAAAGACACATGAAAAAATGCTCATCATCATTGGCCATCAAGGAAACGCAAATCAAAACCACAATGAGATACCATCTCACACCAGTTAGAATGGCAATCATTAAAAAGTCAGGAAACAACAGGTGCTGGAGAGGATGTGGAGAAGTAGGAACACTTTTACACTGTTGGTGCGACTGTAAACTAGTTCAACCATTGTGGAAGTTGGTGTGGCCATTCCTCAGGGATCTAGAACTAGAAATACCATTTGACCCAGCCATCCCATTACTGGGTATATACCCAAAGGGTTATAAAGTATGCTGCTATAAAGACACATGCACACGTATGTTTATTGCGACACTATTCACAATAGCAAAGACTTGGAACCAACCCAAATGTCCAACAATGATAGACTGGATTAAGAAAACGTGGCACATATACACCATGGAATACTATGCAGCCATAAAAAATGATGAGTTCATGTCCTTTGTAGGGACATGGATGAAGCTGGAAACCATCATTCTCAGCAAACTATCGCAAAGACAAAAAACCAAACACCGCATGTTCTCACTCATAGGTGGGAATTGAACAATGGGAACACATGGACACAGGAAGGGGAACATCACACACTGGGGCCTGTTGTGGGGTGAGGGGAGCGGGGAGGGATAGCATTAGGAGATATACCTAATGTAAATGATGAGTTAATGGGTGCAGCACACCAACATGGCATATGTAAACATATGTAACAAACCTGCACGTTGTGCACATGTACCCTAAAACTTAAAGTATAATAATAAAAAAAAAAACATTTACAGAAGACTTCCTATTGTTACACTATTAGTAAATTTTCCCTTTTTACATATTTCACAATCTAGTCGGAGAAATGGACACAAGGACCACAATGTAATTAGTGGAATACTGACAATCAGAACTAAAGGTTAAAAGATGTTTAGATACATAAGATGACCAAAAGATACAGTAGATAGGAAGGGAGGGGGATGCTTGGAAACACTGCATTTTGTCTATTCATTGTATATTTTTTTGAATTTTTTATGCCAATCCACATCTTTAATATGGTGAAAGAAAGAGTCAGGATATATAAATGAAAGACCAGCCACACGGTCTTACAATACTCCCAAAGTTTATAATATAATCATATTATATTTGTTAAATATTTCTGAGTTTTATGCTAATCTTTGTCAAGTTCCAGAAATCTCTGAATACATGGCAATTCACCTTTTGTTTATAATTATTTCTCATTTGAAATCTGATCAAACTTCCTAAGGATAAGTTTGGTTCTTAAAATACAAGCTCTTTAACTAGCACTAACAGTGATGACACCTGTAAAATGAAACCTTTTCTCAAAATGCTCTCATTTAAATGCACTGCTTAAATTCTGTTGTAAATGACATTCGTTTCTGCAACAAACATTACCTGCTATATTCACGGTATATGAACAGTTTGAGACGTAGCTTGTTAACTAATCAATTTAACTCATCCTTACAACTTATTTCTTAAGAGTACTTACATATTCTTCATAAGCTTCATGGGCTGGAGGAGGAGGTGCCCTGTATCCTGGCACTGTTGGTGCCCCCCGGGCTCGAGGGGTAGGGACACCTCTTGCTACAGGTGGCACTGGAAGCGCTCCACGGGTTACAGTGCTTCCCCGAGGGGTGAGAACACCTCGTCCAGGTGGTGGGGGAGGAGGAATGGCACCCCCACGGCCCCTAAGAGAAACAAGTCATGTATAGATGAGAAACAGGTGATGAGAGAAAAGGGCCTATCACAGAAAAAGTTTTCATCTCACAGCCTCCATACAATGAAATAAATACAAATTTCTCTCTCTCTCTCTGTGTGTGTGTGTGTGTATGCATTTAATAGAAATTATATAAGATATAAAGTGTGTTGATATCTATAGAAGACAATAATTGTAAACACTGACTATGATTAGTTCTTATAAAAACCATGTAAAATACTTTGTTATTGTCTTTTATATAACTAAAAACCCAAAGCCAGAAAAAAAAAAAAAACCCAAACAAAAACCCACTCTGAATATAACCCCATTAAATTCCAAATTCTCGAAGAAGACACAAATCAGAGCATCGTCTGATATATGACTCACTGGACCATCTCTGAAACTGAGCGGTTTCAGATGTCTGCATCTCCTTTATGCTGGGGATTACAGATAGTGATGGACAATGCTGTCATTTACCAAAAAAAAAGGTGGCTGCACTTAAATAAAATGTGGGAATCTAACCATAGTGATATCATTCTGTTTACTATAGCTGCTTAAGTTTGAGATTACTTGAAATCACAACTCTTTGTCACTGATTTATCATCATGCCTGTAACCCCCTGAACTGGTGCAGTCCCTGACAGAATATATTTTCTTAACCATAACTATGGTGTTAGAGGAATACTTTAGTATCTGTAATAAAAATAACAGACTGAATACTCTGTATTGCAGTTCTTGATACAAAATTGACTTGCACTAAAAGTGTAAGATCAAATGGTTGTGGCCAATTTTTATGGCATTTTGAAGCCTTTAGAATGGTTGAGTGTTTGTCTGAAGTCTTTGGGCAAAAGAACAGTTATTTCACTTTTTATTTTGTCTGAAAGGTTGGCCTCTAGATAGCACTGCTTTCAGTGGGAACACTAAAGCTTTGGGGAAAAAAATGATGATCATTGAGATGTCAACAATCACAGTATTTGGCTGTAGGCACATATGGGGACATAGGTTATGCTGTCTGCTATGAATAGCAGTCAGATGGCTCTTTCTTGCTTAAAATAAAAGTGAGCATTTATAAGTGAAGGGTACGAATGCTGGCAAAACCTTTAAAATTTTTAAATAGATTACAGAGCTGATGAATAGAGAAATGATGAGAGAATTTATTGTGAGTCTAATGTATAAAGAATACTCTCCTAGATTGGGAGAAGGTGAAACACAAAGACCCAGAGGCCCAGTGCTGGCTGCAAGTACAACATGGCTAAGAATACAGTATTCTGTATTACCATGATAATACATAAAGGGATGTAAAAACCAATTTTGCCTTCACTGCTCCTCCAAGCACATTTCTGTTTCCTCATAAGCAAGATGAGCATATGTCCAGGTTTTATAACTGTTGTCCTAGCTTCCTGTTCAGTTTAGCATTTTAACACTCTCAAAAATATCCATGTGTGGGCAATAAATTATATGGTCACCCTACTCTATTCACGAGCCTTCGCTATACCCTTGAATAGTCATGGGTAAGTATTATAACTACCTAGGCTTAAGATAGATATTTTTTTTTCTAATGAGTAAAATGCAGATTTCTAAATTTATAGTACTTCCTTCTGCTCTAATATTATATGATGCTCATATCAAATCTAATTTTCCATTTTCTTCCTTCATCAACTGACTACCAGACACAGCCCTAGCAAACCTGCCTCCTGAACCTGACTCATTACCTCTTATCCACTATGTTCTTTCCCTGGAATATTAACCTCATTGTTCTCTCCTCCAATTTAATTCAAATCACTTTTTTTAGGATACTGCCCCTGGCTAAAACCACACCACAGTATCCTGTCGTTTATTTGTCTGACTTGCTGAAAGAATATTTTCTGTTTAATTCTTTACTTCCTCTACATTCCTGAACTGAATGTTATCAGTCTAGTTCTTGCTTTCACCCCTCTGTTGAAAATGCTCTTGGCTGAGATCACCAGTAGCCTACTGATTTCCAAATCCACTAGATTTCTTTACAGTCTCCATGCCACAGCACCTTTCTACTATTTTTAAGATTGTGGACTATTATCTGGAAAATGTTTCTTTGGACTTTTATGACTCTGCTTTTCTCTACTTTTCCTCATTCCTCCTTATTCGTTATCCTCCTTCACTGGCTTGTATTCCTGGACCCACTTTGGAATCTGGATGTCCCCAGTTTCTATCCTCGATCTCATGGTTGCACCCTGCAATCCCTACCTCTGATGATGGCTATAATCTGTTTTCTTCCTAACATAATGCCATATCTTGGCTTGTGTTCCTTATATCAGAAGTTTCTTAACTTGCCTGCATGTTAAAGTTACTTGAGGATCTTTTGAAAATTCCAAATTCCAGGCCATACCCTAGGCCAATTAAACCACAATCTCTGGAGACAGGGAGCTCCCAGTGATTCCAAAATACAGGCCAATTTGGGAACCACTGCCTTAAATGAATACTCCAATTTAAGCATCTTGACAAGCTTGTCATGTGGGCAGTTCTAAGTTTTTTAAAAATACATTGAGATATTAAGGCATGGAGAGAACAAGTCACCTGCCCAAGGTCACACCAGCAATCCACAGAGCTCAGATTATTTACAAGAATAATTATATTCTTCATTTAATTTGATCCTTCACCTACTCTTAGTTAATGATATCATCAATTTCTCACCAGGCTAGACACCAAAAATTTATCTTTCTCTTGGGGAACTCTTCTTCTCCAACGTTTAATTGGCATTAATTCATATAAATGTTAATCTCTAATCTGGCCCTATCCCTGTCTATTCCAAATGCTGCTCATTTTTATCTGCCTTGGATGATGGAATTGTTTTCTCATTGGCTCCCCTGCCATAAGACGGTTTCTCTGTCTCTGTCTCTCTCTCTCTCTCTCTCTCTCAATCACTGTAACTCTTCTGCATCAACCACAGTGATAATTGAGTAGTCTTTCGCATAAACAAATATGACTACTCTCCTCTTTAACAAACTCTATTAGTTCTATGTATTCGTTCTCAACGTGGTAAACAAAAGCCTTCAAAATTTACCCCGATGTTTCGTTTTTCAGTGACTGCACTCACTGCAACATATAGTGGTGATGTGTGTTAGAGATGTCATATATTTTCATTCATCAATTATGCAAAATAAATTATTATTACAATATATAGATGTAATGCTTTGTTCTCTGGTATACATTATTATTGGAAAATTAGAGTTATCATAGATAGGATTATTGAAATGTAAATTGTTTTAATTAAATACACTTTCAACAAATTATAGAGCTTAAAATATTCTAGACATCATCTTTTTGAATATAAGTGTAATTAAATAACTTCATAAAGTAATAATTTCATAACAATTCAAATTAGGAATTGTTAACTCATGTTATGCAAAGTTCTCTTATTAATAAGATTTTCTATTTTGTAAAGCTATTTTCTTTTTTTTTGTGGGCATTTGGTATGACCAATCTTTAATTTTCAAGCAATAACAAATATATAGTATCGAGCACTTACTAAATATCCGATACAGTTGTAAATGTCTTTACATGTAATACATTTAATGTTTTATTGTAAGTCTCTAAGTGATTATTGTATTAATTAAATTGTAACATATAATTACATAACATATCCAAGGTCAACATTTTAACTTATTGTTTATCTCATTCATTATGAGATACACAATTATTTTATCTTAACACTATGAGAGAAAACACTGAGTTAAATTATGACTATGCCATGTATGTCAAGAAGACAATCACTTTGAGATGTCAAAATGTGAAAAACATGAATCCTTAAATTGATGAAATATAATAACATCTAGTAAGTGGGAGAACTAGGATTTAGAACCCAGGCATTCTCTTTCTAGAGCTTTTCTGCTTATTCATTCTACTATACTTTCATGCACAAAAGGGTTCAATCGATAAGAATTTACTTATTAAAAAATGCACAAGGTCAACACATATACCAACTATCATACTTACTTAATACTTTTAAGGGAGGTATTTAGGAGCAATAGGGAGGTGAAAAAATTGAGATGAAATGGAATTATGTGAAACAATATCTAACTCTTTTCTTGATTGAAAATTATTGGGTAATTAATGAATGCAGACACTTGATATGCATGAAATCAATATTTGTAGAGGGAATGATCAATTAGTTGTGACAAACCAAACTAACATAAAATGTTCATAAATCCCTTTTTACTTTCAGTTATTATTTTCTTTTATAACATTGATTTGTAAGGGAGAAAACATAACTTCTTACTAGATGTCCAAAAACAAAAGAAAACAAAACAAGAGCAAAGACCTTAAACATTCTTTCCCAAATTAAGGTTAGCATTCTAGTAATAAGAGTATTTCTACAATGTAATAATGTTCCTATTTACATATTCCATACTTTATATTGTATCAGAGATATTTCTCTTGAAATTTAAAAGGAAAAGAATATCTCTTATTCATTTTAAATTGTAGATACAGTTCAACATATTGTTTGAAACAGAAGACAACAAAATTCTGTTTCATTTCCTTTCGTTAATGCTAGCACCACTAATGATATCAGTACAGCATTGGAAGTGAAATTTAATTTTTAATGCTAATTTTCTTTTCTTTTTATGTATATAGTATCAGATCTGTATGTTATATGGGATTAAATAGTGAAATCTTTCAATCAAATTTTTCTTCTAAGAAGATATATTAAAATCCAGGCCATAAAGCACTATCCTGTTTTCAATTATTTAAATGGATTAAAATCTTAGAATAAGGTTTCTCTGAAATTAAAATCTTATATGGTCCACTCAAAAATGCCAGATGCAAAATTCTACTAACGGATATCCATAACAAAGCAAAATCTATTACTATGATGATTTCATAAAATCAAATGCAGATAAATTCATTGTTTTAATGCCCCCCCCCCGCATTTTAAGGCATACAAAATAGAAAAGTGTGTGCCCTCTCTAGGCATCCTAAATTTATACTTACGTTCAACCACATAAAGCTGTAAAATTGGCATTTGTTGAACTACAAAAGTTGCAATTTCATATGATTCAACTTATGATTAAATCCATTAAAGATGACTAGCAATGATGTCTTTTTTACCTCATCAAGATGAGATTAGAAATGTACACGGTTTTACAAAACAACCCATAAAAAAGTACAGTATTGTATTATGTCACATTAATTCTTAGCATAAACAAATGATCTTGAACAGCATTAGAGAGCTTATTTTTGATTTTTTAAAGATAAAATATAAATAAGCTCTAGAACACATTCAGAAGTTTTGCTTTTAGTGAAATAGAATTTCCAGAATTACCCCATTTTACCTCTAGTAAATAATATTCCTTGATATTTTATTTGAGAATTTATCTTTCTTAACTTTTTTTTCTGACCGGTGAGAAACATTTTGAGATATTTTTGATTTAAGTGTTACAAACAGTGGCTATGTTGATAGTGGTGGTTGAAAGTATTTGAGGTATAATTTAAGTAAACAAACTGAATCTGAAAAGTATCTTAGCATATCTTAAGATAATTTTATGTAATATATGAAATAATATTTAGATCTCTGTCCTTTAGAGATTTAAAAGCCAATTATAACAAGATGAAGAGAATGATTAAATCACATAGTTGTTCTCTGAAGGCTATGAGTATTTTTTATATTAACTCTTTTCAAACCAATGCCTTCTATTAAAAGCTTGAACAATTCAGAATCCTGCAAAACAAATTCTAATACAAAAAGATAGCAATTTCTTTGCAAAGTAAGCAAAATCAAATAAAATCCTCTCTGATCACCAAGAAGAGCTACAAATACCCTCTGAACTTTAAATATCCTTACCATCAGCCATGCAAGAAGTGTTCTGGCTTTCTGGGCTGATGGCATATATGTTATCTGTATCTATCTCTGTATCTCTATCTATCTACTTCCTTATCTGGGAAGACTATATCAATTCAAGAACCATTTAAAGCACAGAAAAAGTTTATAGTTTTCTCTTCATACAAGGGTATCTTGGTTTGAAGAGGTGAATAGTTGTATCATGCGTGTGTTCTAATCCTGAGGATAGAACAGTAAAGTAGAAAATCTCTGGTTTGCTGCCTTATTTTCTAGAGGTAGTTGTTAAAAGTATAAAATGTGAATTCTGGAGTCAGACTGTCTACGTGACCCCAGGTAAATTTCATACACCTTTCTCTACTTCAATTTCTCACCTGCAGATGCTATTTATCTCCTAGTATGGAGGATTTGGTGACTTAACATGTGTAAAGCTCTTCTGTGCCTGATAAGCTTTCATCGTTATTGTTTTTGCTGTGGTGGTAGTGATTGTGGCTGATGTTGTTGTTTACTGCTAGTGATAATCATGACATAAAGCAGGACAAAAAAGGCCTGCCATCATCCTTAATTTATTTAAAGTAAGAATGAATGTACCTTGAAGGAGCTGTGGGAGCTATTCTGATCCCTCTGCCTCTAATACCTCTGCCACGACCAGAGTCCTCTGAGCCATTTAAGTAAGATAATTCACGTAGTTGTTCCTGACGAATTTCATCATTGTAGTCCTGGAGAAAAAACATGATGTGATGAGTTAAAAATGGGACATGCCGTTCTCAGAGTTGGAAAAAAAAAAAAAGAAACAAAACAAAACGCAATAGGAAATAATTTTTTTCATTTGTTTCCTGGAACTTTATATGCAAAAATATAAAATGATATTAAAAAGTGTATATACTTTAAATTCCTATTTTTATATAGAGAAATTGAAATTGCTTCTTTTATCAAGAAAGTACTCAGCAGGACATCACATTAGATTTGCTGAGATATCACATGATGTGTTAGCTGGAAAAAGGAAGATAGCAACATAAAATGAGAACTTGGAATGTGCTAAAGTTATGATTGTTAATATGACGATTACTACAAAATAACTTCATTTGAATGAATGTGTGTAGAATATGGATGACTACATGATATTCAAATAGCTTCTGATGCATAAACAAAAAAGAGCAATCCCAAGGGCTCAGAGTAGATACTGAGCATGTATTACAACCATAAAGAAGTATGATAGTATGTCCCTGCTTCAGACAACAAGCAGCTGCAGAATCCAACTAAACAGTTTGATGTGAAATATTTATTTATTTATTTTCATTATTTATTTATTTATTTACTTTTTTGAGACACAGTCTCTGTCGCCCACGCTGGAGTACAGTGGCATGATCTTGGCTCACTGCCGCCTCCGCTTCCCGGGTTAAAGCAATTCTCCTATCTCAGCCTCTGGAGTAACTGGAATTACAGGCACACCACCATGCCCGGCTAATTTTTGTATTTTTGGTAGAGACAGGGTTTCGCCATGTTGGCTGGTCTCGAACTCCTGGTCTCAAATGATCCACCCACCTGGGCCTCCCAAAGTGCTGGGATTACAGGCATGAGCCATCGTGTCTGGCCGCAGTGTGAAATATTTAAACACAACAAATTTTCTATGAGTTCCAGTATTAGGCTAAGGGAAAGTGAGAGCCAGAGAAAAAGGTAAATTTCACAATAACAACCAGAGATTCAGTCAAAGTCAAAGGGACTTTTCCTTTATCAGGGTGGAAATACACCAGCCAATTCAAGAGGACCCAAGAGTGGAGCTGAATCATTACAGGTAAATGCTACCTTCAAAAAACAAGTGCCAGTATCACCTGTTTCTCTTTTTACTAATCAACACACACACACACACACACACTCTCACACACCCCTGGTTGAATAGTACAAAATTGAGTAACTGGTTATTTGTGCCAAATGGCCAATCTGATCAATTATTATTCTGGAAACATAGTTTAAGTGAAATCAATCTAGTGGCTCTTCTAGTGGTGAAGAGAGGGGTCCAGGAGTTAACACTATATTTGTAGAGGTTTGGCTAACAGATATGATGTTTGAGGCCTAGCAGTGAGACTAAAAATTAATATTATCATCTGCACCAAACGATGTCAACGTAGCTCTGCATATGTGTGGTATTGATGAAGACTGTGTAGGGTCACCCACACACCTCTGTCTAGAAAATGGCAGGGAAGCATTCAGCCTACAAGGATTTCTTTGGCACAGCTTTACCTCATGCTCTAGAAACTGCCTTGATTACAAGCAAAAAGCCCTAAAGCATTTCACTTAATTTTATTTTTAGCATGTTGCTTTCATGTTTATATTCTTCAGCACCTGATTATAGTGATAATAGCCTCAACACAGTTAGCTGACAAAAGAGACATAGAGTAGAAAATTATAGTTTCTAACAAGCCATATATTATTCAATTTCTACCTCATAATTTTCTCATTCAAACAACTAAACTTAAGAATAAACATGTCTATTATTTTATTAGAATCAGGAAATATAATGAATTGCCACTACTGAGTGAACTGACCAGGTACTATCAAAATGAAACATTAATCCCATAATTTTGCAATGTAATGTTTTCCAGTTTCAAAGGGGATCTTTGCAGCTTCTTCTCTGAGGAAAACACATGGATACTCGGGGTGCTTATGAGTTGTAGGAAGAGATGGATTGTCATTGTTGGCAAGACTGAGGGTTAGAATAAACATTTTAACAAATTGCAATTGAATTCAACATATATAGAAGTGTACCTTAGAGCATAAATATTTTTTACACCAGAATCAGAAAATATAAGAATGTAGATATGATCTTATTCATTTTATAATAATAAGATGAAGAAGAAGAATGAGGAATAGGAGGAAAAGGATGAAGTCAAGGAGGCTGGGGAAGAGAGAGAGGAAGAGCAACATATTAATCAGATGGTGTCACAGACTAAGCCAATTTGTTCAGGATTCCCTGCATCCATATCCTTAGATAGTTTCCACCACACTGACTCTGAGATTTGCCATGTGATTTGCCTTAGCTAAAACATCATGAAAAGAAGCAGAGATTAGAAAAGTGCTTGTGTATTGGAGCTCTCCTTTTCTTCTTACTGGAAACCCTTATGCCACCTGGTGAAGAAGGCTAGGCTAGCTTTCTGAAGGATGAGAGGTAACGTGAAGAAAGGCTCCAGTCATCCCTGCTCTCCCTGCCATCATGTCCGAGCACCCAAACATAACAGTGAGGATTGAATCTCCAGATATCCTAAGCCATCCTGTCCCAGTCAAGCTGGTGCAGTCAGAAAAATCACCTGGCCAACCCCAGAATCTGGAGAAATAGATAATAAATCGCTGCTTTATGCTAGTAAGTATTGCGGTGGTTTGTTTTGTGCAAAAGCTAACAAATACAGAGGGGACCAGTCAGCATGGTACATGAGAGATATATTTCAGGAGCGTACTTCAGCAGCCTCTCTCCAGCCCTGCCTAGAGGGGGAGTTCTTGGGTCCATGTGTGATCTGAATGTTTCTTGGAGCAGGTGTAGCCTTAGTTGGAGGTGAATATATCCGAATGTCATATCTGGTGTCACTACAGTTTGAATTGCCCATTTAAATCTTTGCTCAGAGTCCATGCTCACCAATTCAACTGCATTGGAGTTCAGCTCCTAGACAGAAATCTACTAACATGGAGGGGATTTCTTATTCTTATTAATATGAATATTTGACACTGCAGGTTAATTAGTAGTGTAAGCAAAGCAACTAATATAATGTAACCAAATTTCTTATGAGCTTAGCTAGAGGGCTATACTTTGAGAAATAAATCACCTGTGAGAGTTGTGGTGGCCAAGAGAATACAGACCAGCAACTACAGATGTAATTGACCAAAGACTTCAGTTGCTGTGCTCTAAAATCCTATTGCTTCCAAGGCTATGCTACCCAAAAGCTTCTCCCAGCTGATAACCAAATGTAGTTAAATGCTAACACAGATCCATTCCTGGCCACACAGGATTCCTCTAACTATGCCTCTGGGGATTCCTTAATAGCACTGCTGAACTTACCTTATAACTTCATTGCACCAGGGCAATCCGTAAGGATTCCACCGCTCTTTCCTCGAGGTCAGACATTGTAGGGTGAGGGGTCTCCAGCCTTCCTTGGCTCCTTCTTTTTTTGTCACAAGAAGATTTTCCTAACATAACTCTTATATGTTCAATCCCATTATTACATCTGCTTCTTGGAGGACCCAAACTAATATATAGGCTGCTGATAAAATCAAGTTCCTAAGATCACAAGGCTGAGAGCTTTGGTAAATCCATTCATGATAATGATAGTTGAGCCTATCCCATTCAACATACTTTATACTATGTATGATTAAATTGGACTGCTTGTTACTCTTTTACTTTAAAGTGGTTAGAGAATGGTTAAACATGAAACTGATTACTGACGACCAAAAAGGATAGCAATGAGTATTTTTAAGAAAATAAATTGTATGTTGCCCAATTTTTTCAATACTTTACTTAATAAGAAAATAACAAAGACTCATGAAGATGGGCAAACACAAACCATATTTTGAGCCAGAGATTGGAACAAATTGGCTGACACAGAGAAATTGTGGCAATAATGAAAAGACTAGTGCATTCATGTGTGTAGTAGGGTATGAGAGAGAGAGAATATGGGCAATCACAGGCCACGTAAGAGTGCTCTAGTAGAAAATATATGGTATGAATGGGAAAGGTAGAAACAAATGAAGTTTCTAGGTGCAGAAATAGCTAGACGTATAATGACTCATTAGCCAGAGAAAAAGAGGAATGAAAAAAAAAAATTGAAGGTGGAGCATTCATATTTGATTCGAATAACCTTACGTTTAAAATGTCAGAGAGACCTTCAGGCTTATCTTAGAAATTCAGATCTGGGTTAAAGGAGTATATTTGAGTGTCAACTACACATACTTGTGATAACTGAAGGATGAAGACTGTAAGAAAACAGTAAAATTATGTATAGAGACAGAACTTTTCTAATCATAATTTTAATGCAAATTTATATCACAGAAAATAGTTGATTTATCATTTGCAATATCTTTATCATTAAATGTTAAATTACCCAGATTTTTAATAAATTCTGGTTTTCCTGATTAGACAATCAAAACATATGTGCCACATTATTTATAGCAATGAGGCACCTAAATGCTTAAAAAAAATATGGAACAAAACTTTTCTTTTTTTTTTTTTTTTTTTGAGATGGAGTCTCACTCTATCGCTCAGGCTGGAGTGCAGTGGCATGATCTCGGCTCACTGCAACCTCTGCGGCCCGGGTTCAAGCGATTATCCTGCTTCAGCCTCTTGAGATTACCGGTGCCCACCACCACGCCTGGGTAATTTTTGTATTTTTAGTAGAGACGGGGTTCCACCATCTTGGCCAGGCTGGTCTTGAACTCCTGACCTGGTGATCCACCCGCCTCGGCCTCCCAAAGTGCTGGGAATATAGGCGTGAGTCACCGCGCCTGGCGGAAAACATTTTTTAAAACGTCCAAATCTAGGGATAGCTGAACTCTTAAATACTGTCTAGACTGAACATATTCTGTGCATTATAATTTTTGCTATTAAAATTTTTATCTTCAATTATTATGGGTATATAATATGTATATATTTTTATAGAGTAAATGTGATGTTTTGATATAGGTATATGATTTGTAATAATCACATCAGGATAATTGGGGTATCTATCACCTCAAGCATCTGTCATTTCTTTGTGTTAGGAACATTCCAGTTCCACTCTTTTAGTGATTTTAAATTATACAATAAATTATCGTTGACTATATTCACTTCATTGTGCTACCAAATACTAGATCTTACTCATTCTATCTAACTATATTTTTGCACCCATTAACCATCCCAACTTCCCCCCCTCCTTCCCACTATTCTTCCTGGTCTCTGGTAACCATCATTCTACTCTATCTCCATGAGTTCAATTTTTTTAATTTTTAGCTCTCACATATGAGTGAGGACATGTAAAATTTGTATTTCTGTGCCAGGCTTATTTTGCTTAACCTGACGACAGTTTCCATCTACGTTGTTGCAAATGACAGGATTTTATTCTTTTTATGGCAGAATAATATTCCATCCTGTATACCAACCACATTTTCTTTTTTCATTCATCCACTGATGGATGCTTAGGCTGATTCCAAACATTGGCTATTGAGAAGGGTGCTGCGATAAACATGGGCGTGCAGATATCTCTTTGATATACTAGTTTGCTTTTTTTTTTTTCTTTTGGATATGTATACCTAACAGTGGAACTGCTAGATCATATGGCAGTTCTATTTTTAGTGTTTTGAGGAACCTCCATACTGTTCTCCATAGTGCTGGTACAAATTTACATTCCCACCAAACAGTGTATGAGGGTTTCCCTTTCTCCAATTCCTTGCCAGCATTGCTTGTCTTTTGGAGAAAAGCCATTTTGACTGGGGTGAGTTGATATCTCATTGCAGTTTTGATTTGCATTTCTCCGATGATTAATAATGTTGAGCATTTTTTTCACATACCTGTTGACAATTTGTATGTCTTCTTTTGAGAAATGCTTATTCAGATCTTTTGACCATTTTAAACTCAGATTATCTGCTTTTTTCCTATTGAGTTGTTTGAGCTCCTTATATATTCTGGTTATTAATCCCTTATCAGATAGGTAATTTGCAAATATTTTCTTCCATTCTGTGTATTGTCTCTTCACTTTGTTGATTGTTTCATTTGCTGTGCAGAAGCCTTTTAGCTTTCTGTGATCTCATTTATCCATTTTTGTTTTAGTTGCCTGTGCTTTTTGAAGTATTACTCAAGAAATCTTTCCCCAAACTGATGTCATAGACAGTTTCCTCAATGTTTTCTTTTAGTAGTTTCATAGTTTGAGGTCTTACATTTAAGTCTTCTATCTATTTTGATTTTATTTTTGTATATGGTTAGAGACAGGAGTCCAGATTCATTCTTCCTTATATGGTTATCCAGTTTTCCCAGCAACATTTATTAAAGAGACTGTCTTTTCCCTAATGTATGTTCTTGGTACCTTTGTTCTTGTGCATTGTTTTTAGAACATATACAATTTTCTAAACCCTCAAAGTTTTATATTATAGTGCTTTTTTCCAGTCCTTGCTTAAGCATTAAGTCTAACTTTGAATTAATCTTCATTCATTAGTACAGGAGTCTAGCTGAAACTAGAACATCCTGTTGATGTTTATTTGTTGCATGTGTTGCTGATGCTTCAGTTATATAAAACTTTACAGATTTGAGTAAACAAATTATTCCAAGTTTAGCTTGGAAACATTATCATCAGAAATATACTACATATTAGTTCACTTGAATAGTATTGAGTTCTAAGATTTGGGAGTCATACAACACATATGAATGAGTGGTTATAGTTTTATAGCATTTATAAATTTTATGCTCAACTTGCTAACATAGATATTCATTAAAAAGTAAAAATATGAGTTCATAAATGGTAATGAGATAATTTATACATACATAATATTATTTTAGTATTGTTTTATTACTTTAGTATTAAAACATCCTGGAGAGATAAAGAGTTAGAGATAGACAAATATTTACCTAAGTATGTGAATAAGGACAAAAGAGACAAAGGAAGGTAAAGCTATGGCAATTTAGAATGAATGGAAAAATTAATTTTTAGTGGAAAATTTAATTTCCAGTCATTAAAAATCAATACATAGGCTGGGCGTGGTGGCTCATACTTGTAATCCCAGCACTTTGGGAGGCCGAGGCGGGCAGATCACAAGGTCAGGAGATCGAGACCATCCTGGCTAATACGGTGAAACGCAGTCTCTACTAAAAATACAAAAAATTAGCCGGGCGTGGTGGTGAGCGCCTGTAGTTCCAGCTACTTGGGAGGCTGAGGCAGGAGAATGGCATGAACCCGGCAGGCGGAGCTTGCAGTGAGCTGAGATAGCGCCACTGCAGTCTGGCCTGGGCAAAAGAGTGAGATTCCGTCTCAAAAAAAAAAAAAAAAAATCAATACATAATAAAAGAAAAATTGACATATGTATTCCATTTTTCTGGAAAACTAGAATAGTACAAAATTTAAATAATCCCTAGGCCTACCCGTATTATGAAGATAATGCTCCACTTGTCAAAAAAATGTAAGTTATATCTAGGGATAAACCTTAATGGTATGTTAGATAGAATTACAAATTACCGGGATTCCACACTTCAAATAGTAAAGAATGCTTTACTGTTTTGGCATATACCTGCAGTAAATAAAATATCCACACTCAAAGAAAATTCCTCTTACAAGATGAATTATAAAGTAGCTTTAAAAATGATGATTAGTTTAATCTATGGCTTTGATTTCAGACAGAAAAGACTAAAATTAGAGTGAACCTTTAAAGAATCTACTGGGGCTTAAATAGCACATGCGTATCATATATAGATTTTTTTTTTTTTTGAGATGGGGTCTCTCTCTGTTGCCCAGGCTGGAGTGCAGGAGCATGATCTCAGCTCACTACAAACTCCACCTCCTAGGCTCAAGAGATTCTCCCACCCTGGTCTCCTGAGTAGCTGGGACCACAGGTGCAGGCCACCATGCCCAGCTAATTTTTTTGTATTTTTGGTACAGACAGGGTTTTGCCATGTTGCCCAGGCTGGTGTCGCACTCCTGAGCTCAAGTGATCCGCCCGTCTCAGCCTCCCAAAATGCTGGGATTACAGGTATGAGCCACCGTGCCTGGCCTCATAGATATTTTTTATAATTGATCTGGATTTTATATTTATTTTCCTGTAATGTCCAAATAATTCGCTTTTTTGCTACCAAAATAAATTTTAAAACCTTGTTATTTGAAGTAATAGCAAAGATATTCACAATAATTTTACATGTTCCTTTTGTCCAAGGTAAGGCCAATTCCCCCTATGAAATAATTTCCATGAAATTCATGACTGCTCCTTTTTGCCTCTCTGACAAGGCCCTCCCATCGTGACACCATATGGTGTAAACAGTATACACAAAAGCTCAGAGCAGACAGATGTTTGGATGTTCCAAAGGACTTAGCTCATAGTCTGCATATTTAATGTATATGCATAATTCCCCAGTTACGTACACTCATGTCCATCTGTTATGATGGCATTTTGCCCAAATACAAATTGGGAAGATTATTTCACTTGCATATGGATGCCAGGTAATGACAGGTGTAGACAGGCTACCTGGTGGTGCAGTGAGGGACCATTTTCCTGCCAAATTCCTTCTTCTGAGGATACAATGGACGCTGGTGCTGCACATTTAAAACTGTGTTTATAGCCACTGGTAACATGTGAACATATACTCAGCTCTGGCAATGCCAAGACTTTCAGAAATCATCGGAAATGATACGTAGGGAAATGATATGTAGTCTTTAGCCTTTCTGGGCCATGACAAAGAGAACTGGAATTTTCTCAGCTCCTACAAACAGATTAGGGCGCTTTTACCGGAATAGTAAAGAAGGTGTGGGAAGTGTTGGGTCCTGCACAATATCAGACTTGCAACTAAGTTGGAATGGGTAGGAAGCTATTTCAGAAAACAACTAGCGCTGTGGTGGATGTTATTTAGCAAAACAGAACATGCTATTAAATAACATCTCTTAGCCAACACAGGGTGAGTTTTAATCAGCCCAGGCTCAGAACCAGAAAAAACGCATTATTAAAATGTAGTCAAAGAGCAGTCAATTAAGATTTATTAAGCATCTGCTTGGTGCATGGCTCTGCATAAGTTTTGTATAAAGGCTTTATAAAACTTATTCATCAAGGAAGATTGGATATCACAAAGTCAAAATGTTGTTGGCTTTGTATCTTAAATGGTGAGTGACTGTAAATGTCTGTACCTAAACAATGTTTTATCTTATTTTCCCATTACTAAGGTCACATTGCCCATTACTCATCATCAGAGAATAAGATAGTACCAATACAGACAGTATGTAGACATTTTGCAGGAAGATTGGAAAGGCTTATTTTCTATCTTGTTTTATTTGATTTTATTTAACTTTGGCCACACAAGGTTTTAAGGCCTCAGACATTGTGAATGAGCAACAAAAAACTTACGTACTTGGTGTTATGCTTTTATCCATCCTACCCTAGAAAATCAATCACTCTTCAGGTTAAATTCAGGATAGTAGATAAATGTTTAGATAATATTAAACGACAGATTTGACTTGTAATTCTGAAAGTAACAAGTTCCATTTGTCTAGGTAAAGTCAAAACAACTACTTTTTTCAATAAATTTTCTTGGCAAATTATTGTACACATGATATACGAGCTTTATTTCATTTAAAGTCAAAATAGGCGTTGATTTAATACTTCAGCAAGTTATCCACCTTTATTTAAAAGTATATAAAATGAACTCTTTGTTAACACAGAATTGATAGTTCTCAGTATGATCTCTTGGGCCCAAATTCTTAACAAAGAAACTATAATGATAAAGAAACACTGAGAGAAAAGTGTACACATTCTATGCATAAAAGAGGTTGATAGGATATAGGTCCCGTGGGTGATATTTTACCAATAACCTAGGAATTCTAGGCCTTCCTCTGGACGTGGAAAATTTATATATTCAAGACAGGGATGCATTTAACCTGTTAGATGTTTTTAAGTTCCTGAAGGAGTTTTGCTAAATAAATCGTCCTTTTATGTAGTCAGTGCATTTCTGAGGAGCAAATAAGTAGCAGCCACTAATGTAGGTTCTGGGGAGACAGTGGAGGAAAGTTCTGATCCAGGGGAGTTAAAGTGCATGTAGATGACTAGATCCCTACACTTGTTCATGTAATGTAATGGTAAACAACAATTAAAGAAACATTTCAATAAAATAGTACGCAAGGATCGAAGCCTTCTTTAATACTCTCTGAATCAGTGCATGCTCAATTCAACTTTGATCCTTTTTGTTGGTTTAAAATATTTAAATTATTTACAATATAATACCAGTTATTTAGTGGCTGCTGCTTTTTGTTTTATTTTTAAAGTGTTAAATTCTACATTTTTGTTTTAGAAAGAAGGACATTTGCTATATTTCTTCATGAGAAAATCCCTCCTAGAAATTCTCCTATATTTTTCCCCAAATTAAAATGCTGTGATTATTCCTTCTAGCTGTATTTTTGACAAGCTACTCTGTCATAGCAACTTTCTTGAAGCTCTTTGTAAAGAGTATACAATATTGCCATGAATGCCACTTCACAAAAATTATCCTTTTATTTGGCTTGCAGTTTCCAGCTCCCCCCAAATTCAATATTGAAAAAAAAAACACCCTGCATACTATTCATACTATTCTTTCCGAATATTTAATCATATTAGAATAGGATAGTCCTTAAAAACAATTATTGCGCCACTTTTTCTAACCAACATAAAGCAACAACAATTGTCAGATGGGGAAAGTGAATCTAACACAGAAAATTAGCAAAGCCAAGCAAGAGGGAGAGAGAGCAGACAAGGGTTAAGAATGTTAAGTGAAGCATTCTAGCTGATAAATACTTACAAAATAAAGGAGAAAATGATGAAAAACTTTATTTCCATTGTCAGTAACTGAAGAAATGAACTTGTAAAATGTAATACAGTACAATACAGTGAAAAAGTATTTGGAAAAAAATACATCAAAAAGATGTGTCAAAATATGATGTCAAAGTTCCCCCCAAAAAAGATAAATTAGAATTACAAAATGAAAAGAACACAGATTTATATTTAGAAGACCTAGGTATATGTCATTTATTCTTTTCCTTGCTTCCATTGGTTCTGCCTCAATAGGAAACATCTGTTGAATTGTTCAGCTGGGCTTCTTGTCCTCAATTAGCTGAGTCCTTTCAATGGTTGTAAATTGTATTTGCCTGTCTTTGAGGTGAATTCACTCAGCTTCCAAATGTGTCTTGTGTTCAAGCCTTTCTAGCAGGGGCAAATCAAAATAGGGAAGACCTGGGTTCTTTGCTCTAGTGGGCCCATGACAGAGCAACTGGTACAACTAGGTTCTCCTCTGAAGGGTGATGTGACATCTCTCTGCTCTCAGGCTTTCCCCAAGATCTGCTAATTCCACAGACCATCTATATAGCTCTCTGCAAGAGCACTACAGTCAGCTGAATCAGGCAGCCCATTTTCTGTCCTCTGCAAAATAGACATACATAGCAAGTGGTCAGACTCAATCCTATTCTGTATGTTACAGAAAGGATTTACGGCAAAGAAGTTACAAGATATTCTTAGCAATCATGGGAATGATTGTTGTTTTCTAAGGCTCCTTTCAGTTCTTGGATCTCTTCCGTCTCCAACGCCATATCTCAAAGAGCAACCACAACGCCTGCTCTCTTGGAATCACTCTCAATATGAGGTACTTTAAGACCATTAAGCCAAACTGCTAAGCTGCTTGTGTCTATCAAGTGCCTTCATCACAGACATGGGAGAAGACCATGCTATCAAGAGTCAGAATGCAAGTCATAAATTTTCCCCAACCCCTTTCCTTATTCGTTTTTAAAATTCATTCTTCAAACTCTGATTAGGAGAAGGTAACCACTTAGTTGTATAAGGCCATTTATATACTCTATGATTAATGTACACTTTGATTCTTTTTCATCCAATAAGAGAAATGATAGGATCTCAAGAAGTGGAGATCAGCTAAAGGAAATTCAGTTTTAATCAATATCTAGATACTACCCACAATGCTCCTGTCCTTTGCCTGAGGTGGGATTTTTATATTGTTCTAAGATGTGGAGTACTGGAACAAGCTCATACTGCTCAGCACTGGGGGCAGAAAACTGGGTTTCTGTTGAACTTGTGCAAACATAACCAGGCATGCATTCCAAAGGGCAGGAAGGGAGCATTTGGGATTCCTTTATTGCCTTCCTCAGTGAAGAAATATATTATTATTAAATATATGAATATTATATATAGTAAATAAAACAAATATGCTTGCTTATTTATATATACGTTCTAGGTGATAAAAATACAGTAAAAAATCCCTCATTGAGCTTACATTCTAATGTGGGGAAAGACTGAAAAAAAGGAATAAGTAATCTTAGTTCAGAGAGTAATACTGTGAAAAAAAGAAACAGAGCAACAGGATTGAGAGACTGGGGAGGCTGGTTTAGATGGGAAGTCAGCAGTGCCCTACTCAAAGAGGTAATATATGAACTGAGACCCAAATGAAAAGGAGTCTGTCATGTGTGGATCTGGTTCACTAGTCTTCCAGGTAAATGGAATGCAAAAGACAGGAAGGAGCTGAGCATCTTTGAGGAACAGGGAGAATGCCAGTGCATATGTATCAAAGATTTAGTGAGCAAGGGTGTAAATGATATTAGGTCAGACAAGTAGGTAGGCTCTGTATCATGGTAGTGCTTCTGGACTTTATTGTAAGTATAACAGAAGGCCTAAGGAATATTTAAGATGGACAGTGAAATAACCAGTTTTTATCTCAAAGAGAGTATTCTGGCTGCCATGACACAAATGGATTAAAGTAGGACTAGACTGGAAACAAGGAGAGAGGGGCTAAGACACCATTATAAGCAATACATGCATTAGGCACTGCAGTCATCTTTACCAGTACCATTATAAGTGGTGGAGAGAAAGAGCCATTAGATCATTGCTGATGGATTAGATATGGCAAATAATGAAAAAAAAATGAACTTAAAGCTGTCTTCCAAATTTTTGGTTTGTGCAACTGATTGAATTGTAGTGCCATCACTGAGCTGGAAAAGTTACTGAATGTGGGCTTCCCTCTTCTCTATCTCTAATTTTAGATAGGGAAGCAAATCATTCTTAGCAAACTATCGCAAGGACAAAAAACCAAACACTGCATGTTCTCACTCATAGGTGGGAACTGAACAATGAGAACACATGGACACAGGAAGGGGAACATCACACACCGGGGTCTGTTGTGGGGTAGGGGGAGGGGGGAGGGATAGCATTAGGAGATATACCTAATGTAAATGACGAGTTAATGGGTGCAGCACACCAACATGGCACATGTATACATATGTAAGAAACCTGCACGTTGTGCACATGTACCCTAAAATTTAAAGTATAATAATAATACTTTTTAAAAAGCATTTCTAAACAAAGAGACTTCTTAAATTGGGAATATTTCAGTGTGATGTGATTTCTGTCTTCTGTAGATAGCCTGTCTTCTGAGTAGACTGGAAAATCATGAATAATCTTGCTTAGGAAAAAATTAAAAAGACAAAATACATAGTCTGTTAATCATAAAAAGGAAATAAATATGTTTACATGAAGACATCCAATGATCAAAAACAGAGTTGAGAACTTGTCAGTTAAGAGATGAAAACGAGCAATCCAGGTAGATGTCCATGTGTGAAGTCACGAAGCCATGACAGAAAAGTAACGGAGTTAGAAGATAGTTGTGACAATAGTCACAATAATAATAATCCAATCCAAAATAATAACCCAGTTTTCCTAAGCATTATGTCAGGAGTGGACAGTAGAAGGGTGTGTAGATGGAAGCCAGGCTGGAAGATTGGAGCCTTGTGTTCTTAAGGTAATGAGTCCTCACAAGAAGGCATATCACCACAATGGCCTTTGGAAGGATCACTCTTAGGAATGTGGATGAGGAACTGGGGTTGGAGGGATGTCAAACAGTTCTACAGAAACCCAATTACTACAGAAGACTCTTATAACAATCCAGACAAAAGGCAATGGAAGTTGGAATGAGGGCAGAATTCAAGTTTTGCTATTAACTAGTTTTGTCCCTGTGAACAAGTCATATCTGTCCTCATTTCTGTATAAGGAAAATAGGAAGGTGGTCATAATGACTCAACTAAGTATTTCTCAAGGTGTCGCCATAAGATCTTCTCATGAAGGGGCTTTTTGTGATAGCAAGAGGAAGGCAGGCTACTGAATTTTTATTGTCCTATAGTAGAATCAAAATACAAATGATTAGGGTGCTATGTACACCTGGAAATGTGGCCGAATGCCTATTTATATAATAATTTATTCATAAAACTCCTACTCAAATAACAATTTGCTTTCCATGCCATCTCATTTTATGCACTTCTTTGCTGCAAAGTCAGTGAGGGAAACAGAAAAGAATATTTTTAAAAACCAGATTTAAAAATACTATCAACAAACCCTCTCGAGGAGAAAGATAATGTTACAAAAAGAGTTTTATGCTTTGGTTTGTTGTATCAGCTTTAATGTTGATATAGACTATGAATTGAGATTGAAGTCTTAGGACTTTAGTGGTAGCAAAGGGCTTTTGTGGTATTAAACACCTCAATTTTACTCAGGCATTTAGCAAACCACAAAAGCCATTAATTGGCTGTCTTCTGTACTGTCGTGGATATTGCTTCCAAAGCATCAGTAAGTACAGAGCAGATCTGTGATCTCTTCCCTTTCTCACCATACAGGTAATTTATAAATTAAATATGCATACCCCGATTCTTATTTTGTAATGGTCAAAAACATTTTCCAAGAGATTTGATTTCCACAGGTTTCCGAAACACTTAATTCTAAACTTAATTCTCCTGATGCCTGCAAATCAGCCATCTGAGGCTTAGAATTCAGTTTGAGAGATTTTCATATGGCCTTGCTCTGAAAAGCTAAAAGATATTTGTAAAATGTTGTTGATCTACAGACCTGTATTGTTTTAAGTTATTGAATTTTATACAGGCAAAGCTGTACATGTAAAGACAGAGAATTCTATTCTCAAAAAACTACTCTTGCTATTCCTTTAAATTATTTGCAACACAACTGGAGTTTTGGGACTCCACCCAAACTTTCCAGATATCTCAACCTTTGTTTTATCCATATTTAGAATGTAACTGTGGTATATTTATACATATATATATATGTCACTATTAGAAAAATTGTCAAGTTCTGCCTCAGTATTACAAAGGAACTTTTATATTTATCATTGCTATCAATGCAAACACTAACTTAGTTAAAAAAGTGAAAAATGATGCAGGATGAATTTTTAAATGTATCTGGATTTCAAGAGAATGAGAAGACAAGCCACAGACTTGGAAAAATATATCTGCAAAAGACATATCTGATCAAGGACTGTCATCCCAAATATACAAAAAACTCATTACAAATCAACAAGAAGAAAACAAACAACTTAAAAGTGAGCAGATCTCAACATACACTTCATCAAAGATGTACAGACGTACAGAATTTAGTGAGCAAGGGTGAAAGTGGTATTAGGTCAGACAAATAGGTCAGGCAAGTAAGTGTATGAAAAGATGCTCAAAATCATATGTCATTAGGGAATTTCAAATTAAAACAGTGAGACACCACTATGTACTTATTAGAATACGGAAAATCCAGAACACTGACACCACCAAATGCTGGTGAGGATGTGGAGAAACAGGAACTCTGTATTTTTTTTTTTTTTTTTTTTTTTTGCTGGTGGGGATTCAAAATGATATTGAAACTTAGAACCACAGTTTGACAGTTTCTTAGAGAACTAAACATACTCTTACCATATGATCCAGCAATTGTGCTCGTTATCTATCCAAACGAGTTGAAAACTTACATGCGCACAGTAACCTGCACACAAATGTCTATAGGCAGCCTGATTCATAATTGCCAAAACTTGGAAGCAACCAAGATGTCCTTCAGTAGGTGAATGGACAAGTAAACTGTGTGCATCTAGAAAATGAAATGTTAATTCAGCAATAAAAATAAATGAGTTTGTATGAAGCCAAGGAAAGAAATGGAAAAAGCTTAAATGTATATTTAAAGCTCAAATGTACTTAAATGTATATTAAAAGCTTAAATGTATATATCAAGTGAAAGAATTCCATCTGAAAGGTCACATACTATATGATTCAAAATATATGACATTCTAGAAAAAGCAAAATTACAGAGACAATAATGCATCAGTGATTGACAGGGGTTAGGGGAAGGATGGAATGAATAGGTGGAGCACAGAAAATTTCAGGTAATGAAACTATTCTATATGATACTATAATTGCAGATAGATGTCATGCCTTTGCCCAAACCCAAAGAATGTACAACATTCACAATAAGCCCTAATGTAAACTATGAACTTTGAGAGACAATGATGTGTCAATGTATTTCACTGATATTGTAACAACTATACCACTGTGGTGCAGGTTGTTGATGGTAGGGAAGACTGAGGGAAAAGGGGTATGTAAGAGATCTCTTTACCTTCCTGTCAATTTTGCTGTGAGTGTGAAACTACTCTAAAAATAAAAGATCAATTAATTTGTTTTGATTGATAAGAATATGATTTCAATAGCATAATGTTATGAAATATCGACCATTTCATCAAGTTGAAACAGCCTATTCAAGATTTAAAAAGTCATATTGCTAAATAAGTACTTTCTCCCTCCTCTTTAGGGATAGGAAGATATTGAAGGCTCCTCCATATACATTTCTGATCTCCAAAGAGCCCTAAGTGCATCTAAACAGACCAAAGTCATCTTTATGGCGCATCGGCGAATGATGAAGTATTGGAGGATTATTACCCCATTTATGGACTCAGAGGTTAAATGATAAATGTGAGTCAAATCACAAGCAGGGATTATGTGGTAGAAAACACTTTCAATGGCTTGCATTTCTCATCTTTATACCATTTAAGTTATTCCTTTTTTAATTTTCTTCTTGTTCTGACATTTTGCCAGCTGAGACCTATTCAAAACGAAGAACTCCGAAATCAATAGCTCATAGATGCCTAAATCAGAGTTTTAAGTCCATTACTCTGCATACATTATAAGGGACTATGCTATTGGCTGAATTATGTCCCCCTCCCAAATTCAAATGTTAACTAACCACTCATGTGATATTATTTGGAGGTGGGGCCTTTGAGAGGAAACCAGGTTTGGATGTTGTTAGGAAGGGGACCCTCATGATGGGATTATTGCCCTTATAAGGAGATACACCAAAACATACTCTCTCTTTCCCTCTCTCTCTCCACCATGTAAAATCACAGTGAAAAGGTGGCCATCTGCAAGCTAGGAAGAGATCCCTCACCAGAACCCAACTATCTTGGACCTCCAACCTTCAGAACTGTGTGTTGTTTAAGCCACCCAGTCTATAGTGTTCCGTTAGGACAGTCTGAGCTAAGACAGGCTGTATGGGTGCTATTCTGAATCAATGTGCTCTTTCTGAGAAAAGAAGAGGTAATCAAAGAATATAATATTGCCTTTGCTGTGAAACTGGTATTATTGCTGCTACTGTTGGTGCTGGTGGTGGTGTATGTGTGTGTTTGACATGCATGTAAAATGTGTGCATTTTAGCTGTCTAATGAATTGAGACTAAGTAAGCAAATTACATAGATAAATTAGATAGGCTGCTTTTTAGGCCTGAACACAGGAATTCTGAGCTCTAGTTTAGAGTCTATGTGGCATTACGGAAATCAGGTTTCTTCTCTCTACAACCTGTTTTTTAAATTTCTAAATAGAGTTAAATAAAACTTGACCCCACTTCTGGAGATTTGAAGACAATTCAACTATATGGCGAGCTTCTAGGTAACCACATACCATCCTCATACATGTTCATTTACATTTATGTGTGTCTATTTAGAACACATTTATGGGAACAAGACTGTATGAAATTAGAAAGGAAATAAAAACTGAGGGCAAGGATTAGATGAATAGATATGTCAAATACACAGCAGAATGGGTTTATATAAAATATATGATTGCATATGTGAGTACAATTTTTTAAAGAAATACAAAAGGAAGACATCTGAAGAATCCAAAAAAGGGTTAGCAAAGCAGTAGAAATGTGGCTAAGGGCATGAGAAAAATGGGGTTGAGTAGCTCACATTATAGCAAAATGGGCAATAAATGACAGTATAGTCATTTGTAGGCACATTGGGAATCGACTGTGCAGAGCTTGATGAGGTCTAAATTCTACAGTGTGATTAGATAAAACTGTAATGTCACAATCATTTTTGTAAACCAGCTAGCTCAGAAGACCATTTTTTTCCTCAATTCTAATGTATTGACTACTTTTTTGTATAACTTCTATTTGTAGAAACATGACTACAACATGGTCTTTCATTTAGTGTCTTCCTTCTAACAGGTATTATTTTGTTTAATTTCTTCATTTTAAATTATTTCTGGCCATGTTCACTGTGATGTAAAATCTTAAAAAAACCTGAAGAACAACAACAACAAAAAAAAACCCCACCAAACCATCACACCTTTCAAATTTTGAAAACCACTGGTTGGCATACATAAGCAATAATAAAAGAAGATCTGCTCTGTCTTTTTGGGAAGATGTAATATCTACTATTCTACACATGGTACTCTTAACACTAAATGTTTCAAAGGCACATGGGGTAAAAATATCACTTTAGTACTCTTTTTTTCCTCTTTTATGATTCTACGAATGGTTTGAGAAAATCTATTTTTATGGATTTCGAGTTGGAACCAAAATCAATTGAAGATATATGACCCCAAGAGCTTAAAGTAGATAAAACGCATGACTATAGCATTACTATACAGTGGTAAAATTTGCATTGCTTAATTTCATGATAAAATTTATTTGTGTCATGCCAATTTTCAGAAATTAAATTTTAAAACTGTGAGCTGAAATTATGTGTATTAGATTCTGGAGAGGTTGTTTCATGCAGCAATTATGAATATCACTGTGTGGCCCCATTGCCTGGGTGAGAGACATTGACACTTTGTGGCTTACCGTGAAATGCTAGTCATTCTGGGGCCTAAATTTACATATCATAAAATAGATCAATAATAGTAATAAGCAATATAATATGGATGTTAGAAGGATTAAACATGTAAATTGCTCAAAATGGTATCTAGCACATACTGAGCACCTGATAAATGTTAGTTCTTATGCTCCCCAGGGGGATTACAGAATTGCCTACTCTCCTATACCACCTATTTGAAACAATAAGGTAAGTCTGTTACATCTACCTTACCTTATTTCTTTAAAGAATTTTAGTTAAAAAATAAATCATGAAGTGCTAAGTATATGTGAATGCACTTTTTAAGTTGTAGAGAATCTTTGGACTACAACAAATTATGAAATGTAAAAAATGTTTTTTGGCTATTTATCCTTGGAAGATTAAGGTCTAGGGTGAGAATATTTTTACAGGCAAATAGTTGAGTCAGAAGCTATTCTTGACTGAGTAGTTGGAAAGGATTCAGTCCTAAAAAAGTGCAGTCAGAGTACGTTTAGACATAGTGATTTTAGTATCACTGGTATGAAATGAAGGTCTAAGGAAGACCAATAAAACAAAATACTGACTCAAGTGAAGATTTTGTAGAAATATAGATGGAAAGAGGGCAAAGTAAAATGCTTATAATAAATTAGGAGACTCAAGCAAGTCCCTCCATAAAGGCAAAAATTAATAAAATGGCAACGTAAGTGAAAATAGCTATTCAGGGAAAGGAGGCAGGTGGATTACATATTTCAAAATCAGTTTAAATGAAAAAGAAAACTAAAAGGTAAAGAAAAGTTTGAAAGAACAGAAATGCTCAAGAAAAAACTTTTAAATTCAATTCACTTAGGAGAGATGTATAAACAAAGATAATGTAAATTATGAATTCATTAGTGAAAACTGGTAATCTCATCTTAAATTGCATGGTAATATCCTTGGGCAATGAGCCATACAAGTCAAAGATACAGGACATGTCAAAACATTTTAAATGCTCCTGTCATTTCCACTGCCTTGTTTTCAGAATAAATGCTAAATTGTACCAATCAGCAAGTGTTCTTATATTATTCATCTATTGAGTAAATTTCTCTTGCTATTCTAGATGAACAGGAGATTATATTAACTCCCAAGTTTCATTATGCACACGTTAAAGCAGCCCTCTTTATTGATATTTTTTCAATATGTGGGTGAATATTTTAGCAAATTATATTGGACTCTGGTTGGCAACTTTCCTGGAATTTTTAAATTGTTATTACATTTTTTAAAAAATTGTGAAAGCAATACCTGCTCAGTATAGGAAGTAATGTGAGTCAAATATAAATTCTTTTAGAAGTTAATATTATCTTTTTATGACACATCTCCAACACACTCTTTTACTGAACAATACATCATGACCATTGCTCCAAACCAATGAGACAGAACTCATTCTTTTTAGTAGCTAATTAGTTTTCCACAGCATACCTGTAGTTCACTAATACATTCGATTATTTATTTATGGATGTTTTAGAGTTTTCCACCGTTTTGCCACTATAATTCTATGATTATCATTCTATTACATGGTTCCTTTATATCCTGAGATTAGATTCTCTAAAAAGGAATTATTGTGTTGAATGATGTGTTACTACTTTTAAATTTTAATGCACATTGCCAGACTTTCCATAATGATCATATTATACGACTATCAACAGAATATTAAGGTGCTTCTTTCTTCAAACATAAAGATTCTTTCTTTAGAGTGGCAAGCCATCATTTTTTTCTTTGACATCCATATCGTTAAAAAATTATATCTCATAGTAAATATCATTTTATATGTATTAGCCATTTGGATTTTCTCCTTTTTGAATTGCTTATCTATATTGAAATATTTATAATTTCTAAAAATCTATTTGTAGAGACTTATGCTTCCAGTCAAGATGGAGTAACTTGGACCACATTTATCTTCCCCTCTGAGTCAAGCAAAAAAGTGGGCAAAATATATTTTTAAAAAATTTCAAAGCAATGGACATCAGGCAACTAAGGCTAGTGATCCCTGAAGTATGGGGAACAACTGTGGTAAGCCCTATGTCTTATTGCCTTGAAAAAGTCTCCAAATTATGGCACAGAGAGGAGTAATCTAGGTAGAGTCCAGCAAACTCCCTGAGTGGTAGAGACACTGTTGACCGTCAAGGGAGACCAGGGTGATTAGACTTCCAGAAAGAACAACAAAGAGCTGCAAAAACAGACAACACTGGAGATCTGAAGAGGATCTTTTTTGGAGTATTCAACAATTCAGTGCCTGTGTAGGAGGAAGCTATCTAGGGCTAGGAAAAGAACCACCAGAAAAGACTAGAAGGAACAGTTCACTGCACTCACAGGGAACCAGGAGTGGAGGAGGACCAACTAGACTAGAAATGCCATAATTCACATGGATATCAGGTAGACTGCTCAGAAAGATCTTGCATCAGTGATAGGGAATAATTATCTCTACGAGGGTGAATAATTATCTCTATATTAAACAGCTCTTCAGTCTTGCCTTTAAAAAGTTATAAAAGCAAGACCTAATAGAGTCCAACAATTTACAAGTAACTTAATGGCATTCCAGAATAAAGTTTGAGAATATTTATAGAAATAAATATGTTTATCACTTAATATGGCAAGATGCACAAGGTGGTAATCAATTCAGAATCACCAGGCATGCGAAGAAGCAGTAAAATATGATACATAACAAGGATAAAAATCAGCACATGTAAATTGACCCAGAATTGATACAAATGTTAAAATTAGCTGTCAAAGACATTAAAACAGTTATGATAAAATGTATTTCACATAATGAAACCGTTAAGTAGACATTGATGACAAACAGTCTAAATTGAATTTCTGAAGATAAAAGCCATAAGGTTGAGATAAAAAATAAACTAGTTGAGATTATGACAGTTTAGACACTGCAGAAAAGATTAATAAATGTAAAGACGTAGCAACAGAAACTATCCAAAATGAACACTAGAGATAAATAAGAATTACTAAAAAAATTAAAAAGAGAAGACACAAATTTATTAGCATTAGAAATGTGAGAGGTAATATCACCGCAGATTATGCAGATATTAAAAGTATAGTAATGGACTATTATAACTATGCCAATAAATTCAACAATTTAAAGGAATTAGAAAAATTTTTGGAAGGCAAAAACTTCCAAAGTGCACTTAAGAAGATATATGTAGTGGATACTTCAAATAATACTTTGTCTATTAAAGATATGTAAGGCCGTATGGGCTTTATCCCAGGAATGCAATATTGGTTTAATATTTAAAAATCAATCAGTGTAATTTATCATAATGACAAATTAAAAATGAAAAACCACATAATAATCTCAATAGATGTAGGAAAAACATTTAACAAAATCCAATATTCATTTCTGACCACAAAAACTCAGCTAAAGAGAAGTAGAAGAGATCTTGCTCAATTCAATAACAGTCATTATGAAAAACCAACAAATATCATAGCAGTGTGAAAGACTGAATCATTCCTCTGAGATTAGGGAAAAGGCAAGTCTGCTCTCACCACTTCTAGTCAACATTGCACTGGAGGTTCTGGCTAATTGAACAAGGCAAGAAAAGGATAAAAGGCATTCAAATTAGAAACAAGTTAAACTGCATTGGGATATGACATTGGTTTATGTAAATCATTTAATGGAATCTTTAAAAAGTAAATAGAAGCCATTAGTAAATAAATTCATCAATGAAAAATAATACAAAAAAGATACAGAAAAAATTGTATTTTATTTACTAGCAATGAACAATTAGGAGTTGAAATTACAAAATCATACCCTTTGTAGTAAAAAATTACATAAATTAGATATAATCTGGCAACAACATTAAAGACTTCTACACTGAAAATTAGAAAATCTTGCTGAGAAAACCTTGCTGAGAAAAATTCAAGAAGACTAAATAAAAAGAGACGTACACTATGTTCATGGGATGAAGGAAAGATTCAATATTGATAAGTTATCAATTCTCCTGAAATTGATTTACCCATTTAATTCAACCTAATCTATGGGGCCTTCCTGCAACAGTAAGTGGGCCATGGTAATAGCTAGGAGGAAGACATTTTTTTACCAAGGGCCATAAGAAAATTTTAGGGGGGATGGAGAGATTCATTATTTTGACAGTAGTGACTGTTTCACAGCTGCATACATCAAAACATTAAATTATCTCTTTTAAAGGCTACAATTTCTAATCAGGTTACAATAAGTCAAATTAAAAAATTAATTTTAGTTACTTCTTTTTATCATGAATATTAATCTTTAAACTGTGATGAACACTATAATTTTTAAAAGTCTAACAGTAGTCTTTTGATTTTATTCATTGTATCTTTTACTGTTTATTTTTATCATTGTATAGATAATATGTCTCATCAGATACATTTATCTAGTAATTTATTTATATAATCTGCAATTCCTAGATTACATTACAATACTGGCAAAAACTAAGGTCATATAAATATTTTCTTATATTCTATTTAATATTTAGTATTTTATTTTAAACTTCATTCAATTTAGAATTTAATCATTTATTAATTATTTCCAAATAAATATGTTTTAATTGTTATATATGGATTATTATTGCTAGTAGTTGTACAAAATACATGATAAGCTAACACTTGTAACTTCATAGTTAAGAGAGCCCACTCTCTTTGGCTTTACGTTTGTAATTGGGTAGGGTGGTCGGACATTCATAGGTTGAATTAATTAAAACCAAAGGCATAATATGAGCTTGCATTTAAAACTGTTAATACTAATGTTAAGCCATTTAATTATTTCACATTAATGACCATCTTTTTTATACTGTGGTGCCTCAAATAGCATGTAATCTTGTAATTGAATTGGTTCATATTAATACTTGCAAAATTAGCTTGCTAGAAGAGTGATCACTAAGATTTCCAACAAAAGGTAGAAGAGTTAAATGGATGCTCTATTTCAAGTTATGTACTGTGTGCTGCAGTTGGAAAAATGTGTTCAATCCCTACTCAGTAGTGATTATATTATCCAATTTACATTGCTATATGTACAATCCTCACTTTTTGAAATAAAAAAATAAGATTCAGATTTACCAACATAGAGATGTAGAGATGTTAAGGAATAAATAACTAGTCCACTGGATCTCTCACAGTTCCAAAGGTAAATAAGATGTTATATTTTCATCAAGCAATTTATAGTTTGGTCAGGCACAGTGGCTCACACCTCTAATTCCAGCACTTTGGGAGGCCAAGGTGGGAGAATTGCTTGAGCCCAGGAGTTCAAGGCCAGCCTCGGCAACGTAGTGAGACCTTGTCTCTAACAAAATTTTTAAAAAGCCAGGCATAGTGGTGTGCACCTGTACACCTGTAGTCCCAGCTTCTAGGGAGGCTGAAGTGGGAGGATCGATTAAGCCTGGGAGGTTGAGGCGGCAGTGAGCCTTGATTGGACCACTGCACTCTAGCCTGGGCAACAGAGTAAGGCTCTCTCTCTCTCAAAAAAAAAAAAAAAAGAAATTTGTAGTTTTGTGGGGCAATGAAAACATTTTTAATAAAGATTAACATGTAAGTATTACATAGAACTTTTATTGAAGGTAGTTCCCAGTGTTGTGCTGCAATAGTAACAGATGGTTAGCACACTGCATTATGGAACATTTATTGAGTACTTATTAGATACTAGGCATTATGTTTTGCATGTTTTAAATCTCCAGTGTCCATATGTCTATAATGTAGGTAGTAATATTATTGACATTTTAATAATGAGGAAGCCGACATTGAGATAAAATGTATGTCTATCAAGTAGTATAATTATGAAAACTTAAGTATTTATACAGAAATAATTATAGTGTTTTAATGTTATATAAAAGTACTGTGGGTTTATAGAAGAAAGTCTGAGGGCATGGAGGAGCCATAGTAGAGAAAACGTAGGTAGAATCTGGGTGACAGAAAAGAGGCAAATCATGATAGGAGAAACCATATGTGTAAAGGGACAATGTATTTTTTAAATAACTGTGCAGGAAGTATTACTTTTAGATGAGTGGTGTATAGGACTGGGTGAGCTTAGAAGGGAAAGGGAATTAGCTTGGAAAGGTAGTTTGGAAGCTGACTGTGAAAGTAAGATTCTTTGGAGTTTGAAATGAAACCTCTGCAGGCAAACGGATTACAAAGGCTTTTTATCTAGAGTGCTTTTGAAAGACAAGAATTGAAAAGGAGTAGAATTGTCTCCTAAACTACTGACTTTATATAACATGCTAGAAGATGGAAAACAAAAACGGACCAATTCAGAGTGCAATTTTGGAGATATTAAACAAGGAAAGAATGGCACTCCTAGGCAGGTGTTCAAGTCCAAATCATAGCACTCAAGGGGCTGCAGCAAACTGGAATAGGTTGGGCCAGTAATCATCTTTAAGGGTGTTAGTGAGCAGCAGGGATTTAGGATTATTGGTAACATATATTCTTGGTATCAAGTAGCACTGGGTTAGGTATTGAGTCTGTAGGTTTGAAACTCAGGAGATAATTTGAAACAAGAGTTTTTGGTGTCATTCACAAGTTGGTGAGAATGACAGCTAGTAGAGCAGAGGATATCACCCAGAAACTTCAAAGAGAAAGAGACAGATGAGCCACAGACTAAACACTGTTTTCCTGGATTTCTTAGTTAGGTTTTTTTTTTCAAGCTGTTCTCTTATATGTGTGCAAAATGAAAAACTTTGGGGAAGATTTCAAATAAATCTCTAGCATCCTGATGTTATTCACCACTTCCATTATCCTTAGCAATCATCTAGTGCTTATCCAGGAGCAGGGTCTGATTGACCCTATGTCACTCAGAAGAAACTGCCTAAGATTAGGATTATGGACAGTTTTAGGTTACTAACTTTGTCAATGAATAGCTGGGTAAATAGGAAAATTTCCTTAACTTTTCAGAGGCAAGAGTAACAACAACAACAATAATAATATAATATTATTCAGCTTTTAAGGTCCTTAGGAGAATAAATGATAATAAATGGAAAGTACAACTTTGGCACATAATAGATTTACAGATTTATTTTCAAAAAACATATGGTATAAATATTATAAGCCAAATATTGGTAATATTATTATGAACAAGTAACTATTTTTACTCTCAAGCAGCATAAAATCTAAATGACAAATTATCCTATAAGACATATAGTCATGTCAATGTTAGTCATCAAAATTTCAGAAGTACTCTCAACTAGGTACTGACAAATTCAAAAAAGTGGTGCTTGGTACCCAAAGTGTTGTTATAGAAACCTTTTACGTAGTCTCCAAGTCAACTATCTTGAGACTATTGCTCATTTAAATATATATAAAATAACATTCTGCAATCTTGAAAATACAATTTCCTTAATTGTCTAAAGTAAAGAACTGATTGCCCAAACTCCCCAATCTATTGCTTGAACACCCTAAAAATTTGGTAGCCCAAGGTAGTCTTGTAATCACATTCATAATCAATCACTTTGAAAACACAGGTTGACTCAATTCACAATAAATCGATGAAAGTATGCTGTAATGCATAATACCATATAATGCCCATCTGTTCCATAGAAAATGGGAAAACACAAAGATGACAAATTTATTTTAATTCTTACAGCTGAGATTTTCAATCAGCTATAAAATTGTGGCATGTGATAGTTATCTATCTACAAATTAAGTAGGCTATGAAAGCAGATAATTATTGGAATCTGTTATGCAGATACAGAGATTGATACAGTGACCTCACTGAGCTCTGCCCAATCTTGGATACTGCTTACACAGTATCTTTGAAAGATATGAAGTATTTTTCTGGTGGTCAGAGGAAATACCTGCTGGGTTCTGCTTACTGCTTGCATTGACAAGTCATACAAATCATGTTCTTGTGTTTACCTTATTATATAAAATGCTGAGAATTTTCACAGGAGAAATGAAGTTTCCTACAGAAAACAATGTGATTGTTATCAACTCACATTTTGATTGCCTATTCAAATGCAGCATATAATGCAACAATTCTTGTTGGCTTCTGTATTCAAATTTATGCTTGCTTAGTAATTGTAGTCTCTGGAACTTATTTGGTGTAAACTGCTAAGCAAAGCTGAATGAATTCAAGAGGAAATAATTCCTTATTCCTTCTTCTTATTTACAACTTTCCAATCCTCAGAGGAGAAAAACACTATTTTCATGATAAAATTATAAAATCACTGTGTGGAAATAGGTTAGTAAAGAGGAATTATGAGTCTATTATTTGTATAATTCTCATTCTATTGATGCATGAGTATTTTAAGTACTAAATTATTCATATTGTTATTCACAATGATCAAATATCATACAATTACTTCATTTTATTTACTCTGACTCTACTCACAATACATTTTTCTGCATATTTTAAGATGATATAATCATAACAAATATTCATTTTAATAGAGTGGCACTGTATGCAATGGATTTAAAAGAGGATTACATGCAAGCCATTACATTTTAGCAATATAGATAGAACAATTATTCATATAGGACATATATGTTTTCTTAGGTTTTATCATGCTTGAGTTTTCTACCTATGTTTAAAGAAAAGATAATTTATGATATATCCCATATTTATGGCTGAAAATTAGATTTTATGATGCTTTAGAAACATATTATAAAACTAGGATTGTTTGTTATACTATAAAATTTATTTTCTTTCTGATTCCCTTTTCCATTGTTATCATTATTTTTTAAGACTAGTGGAAGCTCTTTGGTAGTGAAATTTGAAAGGGAAGAGTAATACTTATCACACAATATCATATTTTAACAGTTACATAAAAATTACAAGTCTGCTACAAGCAAATTTCCTTCCTCTAAAGATGGCTGCCAAAAAACATTCAAATTGGGCAAGGAAGTACAATATCAATCTATGGGAAAGTTGAATATAATGTAGGTTTGCTCCTGTGTGGTTATAAAAGTCACCAGAAAACAATGGGAAGAAGTGCTGAAGTGGGAAGCCATAAAGCAAATATGGGGTTGTGTAATCTTTTAATTTCAAGTAATTACCAGAAAAAATAACTTTGGAAAAATATTCTAATTTTACTGATGGTTGTACTATAGTAGTAAAGTCTTCATACTGATTTTTCATAGCTGTCTTTTAACAGGTGTGATAGAGGCCAAAATTAAAAGTGAACATCAGTTTTTCAACCTGCACCAATTTGGCTTAAGGAATATTTTATTACAGTAACTAATTTTCATCACTTAGTCATCGTAATAGCAATGTAATGTGAGTCTGCCCAAAGGCCGTTCCACCACCTGTATACCTGTTATTTAGTAAGACCCCCCTCAGTCATTCACATTAAACTTGCTGGGAAATAGGAGGAAAATCCAGAGATATTAAGAAGATTCTGGCAGTTTGAAACATATCACAAAGAGAGATAAAATTGCTTACTCAAAATGCACTAGTTTAGTATGACCCTCTGATGTTATTAAGTTCCTGAAATATAACAAAAAACACACTGCAAATCTGGATTCCATTATAAGCAGAAAACTAAAAAGCTAAAAAGAGATATTATTTTCCTTCAACAAATGTTAATCTACATTTCCTACAGATATATATTATATTCAAAATTGTTAGATGAAGTTGTTTGATTTAACATAAACGTGTCATCTCTGGGTTGCCTCAGTCTCCTCATCCATTAAATACATAATCACAACTATTTTATTTCTTAACCTCCCTCCTTCCTATGGTCTGAATGTGCCTGCCAAAATTCATATGTTAAAACTCCATTGCCAATGTGATAGTATTAAGATGTAAGGCCTTAAAGAGGTGATTAAGTCATGAAGGCAGAGCCTTCATGGATAAAATTAGGGTCCTCATAAAAGGGCATGAGGGAGGGGGTTCATTGCCTTCCACCCCTTCTGCCACTTAAGGACACAGTATTCAGACCCTGCAGAGGATGCTGGAACAAGATGCCATGTTGGAAGCAGAGAGCTGACTCTACCAGACAACAAACCTGCAGGCACCTTGATATTAAACTCCCCAGGCTCCAGGACAATGAGAAATAAATTTTTCTTCTTTATAAATTACTGAGTCTGTGGTATTTTGTTATAGCAGCACAAATGGAGTAAATTAACACCTTCTTCAAATCAAACATCTTATGACTTACGATTTCTATTTGTAAAGACAATGAAACAGAAGTGTTAAGAAAGAACTAGTTCTCATAATTGGCAATTCTTATATGAAATGCTCAAGGGGAATAACTTCTAGTTATCACTGTGTGCCAAGTGTAGACTTTCTGAATGTATTGGGAAGTGATAATGGACCCTATACCGCCCCTAAAAAAAAAAAAAAAAAAAAAAGAAAAAAAAAAAAAAAAAAAAAGGCTAGTCTAGTCTAGTTACTCGGGAGGCTGAAGCAGGAGAATTGCTTGAACCCGGGAGGTGGAGGTTGCAGTGAGCCAAGATGGCGCCACTGCACTCCAGCCTGGGCGACAGAGTGAGACCCCGTCTCAAAAAAAAAGAAAAAGAAAGAAAGACGGCTAATCAATATAAGTCAACATAAGTCAAATGAAAATTAATAAAGAGACTAATAATAAATACAAATAAAGGATGAGTTTACCTAAGCAACTTAGTTCATGAGTTGCCTGGAGGAAGCTAAGTATCAGGCTTTAGTAGAGCTCTGTTTCATTTAAATGTTAAACCTAATACCACATTTTTTACTCAAAGAAAGATTATTCAAATTTAACAACTGCAATTTTTCTACTCAGGTGGATAGAAATATTCTGGTGACAATTTTTGTTTCAAATAAGCAACTCTTCTGCATATGTAATAAAATACCACCTAATTTTACATAATAATGTGAATCAACAAAAAATTCAATCATATTACACATATACAATAAAATATTTTTATATTCATCCTTATAATGAAAAAAATACTTATATTTTGTTAAAAATATAAGAAGTTTCATCCAAAATACTACTTACGCATCTTCACTGAAAATCACTATAAGAAAATAGGGCTTGATTCCTTACATACTACATGAAAGGAGCTAAATAAAATTGATTTAGAGTATATGTTCATAAATCCGTAACCCTCTGAAGGTCATTTACTGAAACTTTCAGGTAACTAAACTTTTTATAAAGGTTGGAAGTTTTATAAAAGATGAAAGTATAGTATTACCCAAAAGAAACTAAAGAAACCTGAAATGTTGGACTTAAAAACTATATAAAATATTAAAGATGTTAAGAATATATACATACACACATATATATGTGCTAAAGATATATATATACATAATCCTTAACACTTGATAACATATTATCACTTATATAAAAATATACAATATTCAAAGAAGAATTTAAGTGGTTTTATATGCTCATTTATTAGTAATAAAGCTTTAAATATAATTTTATGCTTTTGAGAGAGTATTGCAAACTAGCCAATTTTTAAAAATTGACAGATTAAAATTGCATGCTTTTACTGTGTACAACATGATGTTTTGAAGTACAGTTACCCTTGAACAACACAGGTTTGAACTGCTCAGGTCTACTTATATGCAGATTTTTTTTTAAAGAAAAGTTGCACTGAGTGTGTCTGCCTATCCTGCCTCCTCTTCCACCTCCTCCACCTCTTCTGCCTCTGCCATCCCTGAAACAGCAAGACCAACCCATCCTTTCCTCCTCCTCCTCCTCCTCAGCTTACTCAACATGAAGACAACAAGGATGAAGATTTTTATAATGATCCATTTCCACTTAATAGTAAATATATTTTCTCTTTCCTCTGATTTTCTTAATAACGTTTTGTTTTCACTAGCTTACTTTATTGTAAGAATACAATATATAATATGTATAAAATTTTAAAAATGTGTCAATTGACATTTTTGTGTTTATGTTATTGGTAAGGCTTCCAGCTAATAGTAGGCTATTTGTAGTTAAGTTTTTGGAGAGTCAAAGTTATACATTGATTTTCGACTGTGCAGGAAGTCAGCACCCCTAAGCCCCTATGTTGTTTAAGGGTCAACTATACATATACATTGTGGAATGGTTAAATCTAGCTAATTAACAAATATGTTAGTTTACATAGTTATAATTTTTGTAATGAAAGAATGTAACATTCACGTTCTATGTTTTTCAGGAATACATCATCATTATAGTCACCTGGCGGTACAACACATCTCTTGAAATTTATTCCTCCTATCTAACTGTAATTATGTATTTTTTGACCAACATCTCTCTCTCCGCTAACCACTCCAGCCACTCATAACCATCATTCTACTCTCTATTTCCGTGAGATCAACATTTTTAGATTCCACGTAAGAGTGAAGTCATACAGGCCGGGCACGGTGCCTCACGCCTGTAATCCCAGCACCTGGGGAGGCTGAGGCAGGCGGATCACGAGGTCAGGAGATCCAGACCATCCTGGCTAACACGGTGAAAACCCATCTCTCTAAAAATACAAAAAAATTAGCCGGGCGTGGTGGTGGGCACCTGTATTCCCAGCTACTCGGGAGGCAGGAGAATGGCGTGAACCGGGAGGCGGAGTTTGCAGTGAGCCGAGATCAGGCCACTGCACTCCAGCCTGGGCGACAGAGCAAGACTCTGTCTCAAGAAAAAAATAAAAAATAAGAGTGAAGTCATACAGTATTTGTATTTCTGTACTTGGCTTCTTTCCATTAAAATACTGTCCTACGGGTTCATCCCTGTTGTTGCAAATGGTAGGATTTCATTCTTTTTATGTATGAATTGTATTTCATTGTGTATATAGATCACATTTTTTAACCCATTCATCTATTGATAGACACTGTATTAATCTGTTCTTGCAGTGCTATAAAGAAATACCGGAAACTGGGCAATTTATAAATAAAAGAGATTTAACTGGCTCACGTTTTCACAGGCTGTACAGAAAGTATGGGTGGGGAGGCCTCAGGAAATTTCAGTCATGGCAGAAGGCAAAGGGGAAGCAGGCACATCCTACATGGCTGGAGGAAGAGGAAGAGAGAGAAGGAAGGTGGTGCTACACACTTTTAAACAACCAGAACTCCTGAGAACTCACTGTCAGGAGAACAGTCAGGGGGAAATCTGCCCCTTTGTTCCAATCACCTCCCATGAAGTCCCTCCTCCAACACTGAGGATTACAATTTGACATGAGATTTCAGTGAGAAAACAAATCCAAGTCATATGAGACACATAGCTTGATTGTATATCTTGGCAATTGTGACTAGTGCTGCAAAAAACATAGGAGTGCAGATATCTCTTTGACATACTGATTTCAATTCCTTTGAATATACGTTATGCACTGCTTAACCATGGGGATACATTCTGAGAACTATGCCATTAGGTGGTTTCATCACTATCCAAACATTGTGGAAGGGATTTACACAAACCTAGATAGTATAGCCTACCACACACCTAGGCTTATATAGTATAGCCTATTGCTCATAGGCTCTAAACCTGTTCAGCATGTCAGTGTATTGAAAACGGTAGGCAACTGCAACACAATGGTAAGTATTTGTGTATCTAATCAGAAAGGCATAGTAAAAATACAGTATTATAATTTTATGAGACCACCGTGTATATGAAATCTATAATTGAATGAAATATTGTTATGCAGTATATTGCCATATAACCAATAATATGGATTGCTGGATCATTTGGTAGTTCTATTTTTAAGTTTTTAAGGACCTTCCATATTATTTGCCATAAGGACTGTACTAATTTACATTTCTACCAACAGTGTATAAGGGTTCCATTTTCTCCATATCCTCATCAAAACTGGCTTTCTTTCATAATTTTTTGATAATGGACACATGGACATTCTAACTGGGGTGATGTGATTTGTGGTTTTGATTTGCATTAGTGATGTTGAACCTTTCTTTCATGTACTTGTTTGCCATTTGTATATCTTCTTTTGAGAAATGTCTGTTCAGGTCTTTTGCCCATTTTTTAATGTGAGTTATTTGTCGGGTTTTTTTTTGCAGTTGAATTGTTTGAGTTTCTTATATATTTTGGATATTAACCCCTTGTCAGATATATACTTTGCAAATGTTTTCTTTTTCTTCTGTAGCTTGTCTCTTTACTCTGTTGTTTCCCTTGTTGTGCAGAAACTTTTTGGTTAGATGTAATTCCATTCGTCTGTTTTTGCTTTTATTGCTTGTGCTTTTGAGGTCTTATCCAAAAAATCCTTGCCCAGACCAATGTCATGAAGCATTTCCCCTAGGAGACTAGCTAATTTTTAAATCTAACAGAAAAGTGAGATATCACACTGATACAAGCTGTAATAGAGTATATGCATTGTCAGTCTAGGATACTTATAAACATACCCAATAAATAACATCTATTCAAAGTCAGTAGATTATCTTTTCACTATGAATTGTACAATCCAGTGTAACATAAACTTGTATTTATTTAGTTTTGATATTAATAGGTCAATTTTCTTGACTAACAGAAAAATAGTTAAGAATGTCATAATTTACTATATTAGAAACTAAAAGAAATAAACTTCATGTTGTGATTGTATTATTATTACTTTAGTGGAAGGAAGAATGCACTCAGAATCCCAAATTGGGGTAACAGGAACTTGCAGTTTAAGAATTCTTGCAGAGTTACTGGAAAAACAATTCAGGAGATTGAGGATTTACAGGGATGTAAAAACAGACACCTAGACAATTAGGAAAAGCACAGAAGACTGAGTAAACCCATGGGATTTCTTTAGGGAAACTGGAGTGATCTCAAGAGCTTCATCATTGCTACTAAGTATGGCTTCTAACAACTTTGTCTGTCTCTCACAATCAGTTTCTTCCATTCTCTCTCACAATTGCCTTGCCATTTGAGGTGCTCTGAATTTTTAGAGTTCTAGCAAGAAAGGAAGAAGAATTGTGGATGAAGGGGAGTCAAACTTGTATGAACCCTCTTTCTATTTCTAAAACCCCTAATTTGTCGCTAAGGAAATTTAGGTAGATTCTTGAGGGTTGGAATTTCTATACCGACATTTAAAAGAGGGAGTAGAGGGCATGAGGTAGTAAATGTTCCCTAAGAGATAGCATCCCTGGAATGTAGGAAAGTATCAGTGAATTTTGAATGAAAGATGTTTAAAGCTCATTTATCCTTCTTTTTCCCCTGACCATTGCCAGTATCACCTCTGTCAAGTCTGTCCTGGACTAACAACAGGACAAGAGAAAGAGAAATAATGGCTAAGGGATATCCAGCTAGCAAAGGCATGAATCAGTGGAACTCAGCATGACTGGTGGTGAAAGAAAGCCCACGTTATTCTTCAGGGATCATCCATGAACAATACTTTGCATTGCAGAGGTCAGAACATGCATGAATGCTTAACATTTTATTACCCAAACAATTACAGTCACAGTTAATTATCTGAGGTTTTACAATACTATCATAGAAATTATGCACATTACTCTTCAAATGGGAAACAAATTCCCCTGAGTGACATTGCTTTGCTCAGTGCTGCTAAATCTTCAGTATTATTTATGTTCTGCACAGTGTGTTAGGATTGAATGAGGGTTGTGAGACAATTTAGTGCAATCTACTCATTTTAAAGTTAGTGAAATATGAGAAATAGTAAGATAAAACCCATTTATTTAAGGTCAAAGATGGAGATAAATTGCATGGTTCTGCACCACATCTTTATTTTGGGAAACAAAATTGAATTTCAGAGACCATCAGAGAATGACAATCTCATCATATTGATTTCATCATAGTTTATACAATAATAATGTTAAAATGGAAATTTCTAGTTCTTCAATACCATTTTATGTCCTCCTTTTCCAGATGTAAATTGAATGTCCATCTTTCTAATTCATGATTTTAAATTTTAAATCTATCTCTATTCTATCATCTGTCTATGTACTCAGAAACAAGAAACCATGTATACTCTGAAATCTTTTCGCAATGTGCCCTTTCAGTTTTTAGTCAAAACTGTTCTTAAAGCTCTATCTATATTGACACATATAAATATGGTATGTACATACATTTTACCTTTTATTCTTTGCTTCCTCTCCAGTTCTATTTTGTACCTTCCACTAGATTGATCACATTTTCTTTCTTTTTTTATTCCGTGTAATAATTTGGGAAATACATGTTTTGTTTTATACTTTAAACAGGCAAACTGGCTTCAAAATATTCCAACAAAATATAACATTAATATTTTTATTCGGCCCCATAGGGCTGCTCCACATTCTCTCTCCTCCTGAATAGGCTTGTACTTTACTTTGAACTGTCATCCATTTTTATTTTTCATTTAGTGTTATCCTGTATCTCCCTCTACATTGCTTTAACCATACTCCTATATATTCTCATTATTCTTTTTAAGTTAGATTTTTTTTTATATTTGAATATTGTGTTTTCTCAATTTGGGACTCATCTTTATTTTACATTCCATTATTTTATCTTATGTTGGTTTCCTTCGGGCTTCAGCTTATCTTGTCCAGTTCTTTCAGTGAAGTTTTGTAGTTGATAAACTCTTGTTTATAGGTTTGAAAAATATAATTATTGTTCTCTAACTTGAATGACAATTTAGTTTGATATTGAACTGAAAGTCAATAATTATTTCCTGTCAGTGCTTTGGAAATAGTATTCCTCTATCTTCTTCACTAAGTTTTGCTGATGAGAAATTCACTGGTGAGAAATTTGTCAGTAATTTATATTTATTTGTAAATCTTTTTTTCTCTAAAAGGTTAAAAAACTTCATTTTTTTGTTGTTCTACAGTATAATACACATGTATCTAATTTATCCATCTGAAGACTTTAAATTATTTTTAGGACTTACTATGTTTATAGTTTTGAAATTTTTTTATAAAATATGTTTTCAAACAATAAATTGGCCCCATTTTCTTGATTCTCTCCCTGACTTCCTATTGGACATGTATAGGACCATCTTATTCCTTCCTTCATGATTTTCTCTTCATCTCATGGTGCTGCATTCTGGTCATCTTCTCAGGTCCATCTTTTGGCATATGAATATTATTCTAAATTGTGTCTGGTTCACCTTTACCCATCCCATTGAGTTTTTTATTTCAATTGGTTTTTTATTGTCTAAAATTTACATTTGGGTTTTCTGCAAAGCATCCTTTTTCTTTTTTTATTATACTGTCCTGTCTTGTCTTGCAAATCTTATTTCTTCTTTCATTTATTCAACCATATCAGATATTCTTATTTTAAAATTTATTTAAATTCTTCTTGTACATAGAAGATACTTCTACTACTCTTCTAGTTGTTATTTCTAACTACTACACAACGTCACTAGGCTTCCTATTTCCTCATGTGTTTTGTAATATTTTATTGTTGACTTATCTTTGGTCTGATGTGTCTTATGTTTATTGAACTTCTTGGGGGATTTTGTTAATTTCTTCTTTGAAAACTTCTACTATATGAGTATCGGGCAGGAATTTAGGTCACACACCTATTTGTGTTATAAGGCTGAAAATCAGTCATTTCATTTGACTCTGTACTTACAGCCTTGCGCCAGCAGGCTGAAGTTTTTCATTAGGACCTCCTTTATCCTATAATTAGATTTATAAAGGAAGATCAGGATTAGTAACTCTTAGATACAAGAAGCCTATGGTCTTTATTCTGACCTCTAAACAGAATTAAACTCTATCCTTTAAGGCTTATATAGGGACAGCTTTATACCCATGAGTTACATGGGTCCACTCCTAGGCACTGCTGTAAATTTCCTCTTAATTTCTGGCACGTGAAGATTTCATTGTCTTACTTTCCATTTTTATTACCTCAAATTTTTCAGTCTAGTATTTGTATGTGAATTGGGTAATAGGAGTTGTTTCTTAGGTCCATGTCAGCTAATTTCACCATCTTAACCAGAAGCTCCAGGACACCTTCTACAGCCCCAAGCAATCAACACAAACCACTAATCATTTATTGTCTACCTTTTGGGTTTACAGCACTGGAGTCTAGGCATAAATATAAATATAAATATAAGTCTCAATATCGCTCTTCAAGGGGTTTACAATCTGTTGGTGGTCTAAATGAGAGAAAACACATTTTTCAAAAATATAAAATGTGCTAACATAAGATCAGTGTGTATTCAGGAGAGTTGCAAATGACAACAACAACAACATAAAAAGGTTTCATGGAATAGTTAGAAATCTTAACTTGCTAGAAAAACGTATAGATTTAGGAAAGCCATAGAGTTAGGAAGTGTTTCCAGTTAAAAGAAACAGGATATGCTATAAAGATGAGGATGAGCAAAGTATTTTGAGACAATCATGATTATATCACTGGCCTTGAGCAGGTCAACCACATTGGAGAGTAAATTCTAAAGTACTTTATTTTTCAGATTTTTGAACTTTGTTTATTGAGAATATTTTATGTAAGAATGTTATAGGGTGAAATAATTGCTCTGAGAAGGTTACTCTGGTAGTGTTCTACATCATGGCATGAGAGAACTGTGAAAGGAAGGCATGGCAGTAACTCAGTTCTAAAAGGATGAAGGCTCAGACTAGTAGATTGCTAAGGGGAGTGGAAAACAAAGGAAAACCAACAGAGGCAGTTTAATGTATTTACATCTCCTTTTGTCCACAAAAGGTTTGGTGTCTCTTTGAGAAAATCCAGAAGAAAAAATGGAAATAGTAAGAGGGGATTCTATAAAGAGAAAAAAGCAAAATTGTTGATCTCGTGGTTCTATAGTTTCTGGCTGGCAGTGCAAATATAAAGATGTTGCACCAAGTGTCCTCCTCAAGGGCAGTACATTTTTTTTTCTAGAAAAAAATTCTGAAAAGAGCTCTCCTATTCATGTTCATCAGTGGTTCTTCAGTGGAGGCTATTTGCCTCTTTAGAGATATTTATCATCATTCAGAGACATTTTTGATTGTCACACTGGTAGGAGGAGGGTGTGCTACTGGTACCTAATGGCTAGAGGTAAAAGATGCTGCTAACATAGCCTACAGTGCACTGGGTGGACCCCACACCAAAAATTATCTGGCCTGAAATGTTAATTATGCTGAAGTTGTGAAATCTAATACACATCGATGTAATGGACTTTGCTCTCACAGCTGTTTTCTTAAGGAAATAAAATACATGCTTAACATAGTTATGTATAGACACATTCAAGTATTCAGTCGATTTGGGACATTAAACAATCCACTGTAACCTGCTCTATTTTTACCATTGTACTTATCAACATCACAATTTCTTACTCTTATTTCAAATTCGAAATTAATTATTTTTATGGTTATTTTTAATTTTCTGCTTACCCCCTGTAATTCCTCAAATGTAGGCTCCATCAGCCCAAGGATCTTTGAAAGTTTTTTTTCACAGATATTTTGCATCACTAGTGCTTGTCAGCAGTAGAATTTTAGTGAATACTTTTTCTATAAATGAACAATGGGTAAAAAAAACAGATTTATTGTTACCTAATGTCATAGAAATTTGGAAATTAAGGAACTTGGATGAAGAAGAAGTGGGTATGACCGTAAATTATCCTCCTTACACATTATTTCCTGCTTTTACATTTATAAATGAAGCTGAATTTTAGACTCCAAGAACAGCCTTTCTTTGAAGAATCAGCATGATAGAATTATTCAATGTGAATTATAAAACTCTGGAAAGAAACCAAAGTACATACTGGTTCATTAGACATTGAAAGGAAGACAAAAGCGGTTGAAGGCTATGGAGATGCAAAATTATAGATTTCCTATCAATCAATTCAGAAGTATTCTAATACTTTTCCTAGTATACACATTAGAGCAGAATGTTTTGTTCTTCTGATATTCAATTCATAAAATAAATGTACCCTTTTTTTCTTGTTACTTTTTCTAAACCCATATTATTAGCCATAAATGATGCTGCTCATGATGATATTAAGTAAAAAGAGAAACATAAGAATTCATTATTGGGAAAACTCCATTCACATATTCAAATGTATAAGCTTTTAAGATAAATAATGTTAATTTTATTATTTATCAAAGATAAAGATAACTACTAATTAAAATATATTTAACGGAACAACAAAATGTTTGATATCAGAAATATATAAATTGCAGTTAAAAGGTCTTTGAAAATAGTGTAGTGGTAAATAAAAGTTCAAAAAAAAAAAAGAATATATTGCCCACATTAAAAACCTATATGGAACAAGGAGATCAGCTGGAAGCCAAGAGACACTTCCCAATATGGGGAAAAGGTAAGTCAGTGGTCCATATTCCCACCATGGACTCCTGCAATCCTAGCCATGGAAGAGCACTGCAATCCTCAATCCTCGCCGGCCCTACAACTAACATAGGGAACTTCCAGGAGATTGTGCAATGGAACTGCTCCAGGGAGTGGAGGGTGGTTGTGCTGGGTCCCACATGCTCCATGAGACTTGGCCTCAAGCTATCTTCCCAACTTGGCCTCTCAAAGTGCTTAAATTACAGGTGTGAGTCACCACTCCTGGTCAGAATTCAAATTATTGATTCTAAAGAAGCTCAATCAGCTATAGCAAGGTACCATTTTAGAGCCCTGCACCCAATGGACTGCACACTGTCCTGGAGCCCAGTGATGCCAGGTCTGAGATGCAATATAAGAGTGGCTTCTACTTCCAAGGTAGCAACCTGAAGCTTAGGTGCAAGTGATCATGGGCTAACATACCAGGGGCTGAGATGTGATCCAAGCATGGACTATTGCTGTTGAGGCTTAGGCATGAGCAAACTGCCAGCTACTGCAGCAGGGCCTGAGGCTTGAGAACTGCCAGGGCTGAGTCGTGAGTATGGGGCATCTCCTCACCTGCTGGCCTAGGATGTTCAACACCAAAAACAGCACTGCCTTTCCCATTTGCAGGGAAGCAGTTAGGCTGTTGCCACCCTCTCCCAAACATTTCACCAGTGGCTGGGGGTTGTCCTCCTGCCTACCATGGCTGGCATCTTCATTTACAATTGGGGGCCTGAGAACAAGCCCGCCCAGCTTGGCTTTGCCATAGCCCTGTGCCAGGGCATGCAGCCTGGGGACAAGGGGATTGCCGAGCTGAGTCAATAATCATTGGCATCTGAACCTTCTCCAGGGGGACCTGAGGTTGGGCATACACACCATAGCTGGCACCTACCTTCATGTGCTACCTGTTGGCATGGAGACTGGCCTGCACATTACATTACAGTCACCACCAACACCAGCACACAGCACTCAGAATTCAGAGGGCTATCCTGCCACTGACAATGACATTGCTAATTCCATGTCAGTTGGCTGGGGCCCCAAGAACCTGCCCACCCACCCGCTACATTACTGCCATTATTAGCATCTGAGTAAGCCACCCAGAGGCCTAAGAATAGGCCAAACTGGACCCATTAACACCAGTGCCAGCATATACTACCCTGCAGCCCAAAGACAGACATGCTTAACCCACCACCTCCACCACTAGGGCCTGAAGACTGATCTAACCTGGTGCTGCAGTCCGCAGGAAAACTTTACCACAGCCTCCACCAATAACTGCTCCCTAAGCCACCAAGAAAATCAGAGACCGTGGATGCTGTTCACAGCTGAAGGAATGATACAGAGACTACATTACTGCATGGACACAGAATCAAAGCCAAAGTGTCCTACATAACCAACACCGTAGATACATCTTTAGGAAAAAGTGTTCTGCTATTAAAGCAAATTTAAAAACTGGAAGAAGCAACTGTTACACCAGATGTGCAGATGTCAACATAAGCATAAAGAAAACATAAAAAAGCAAGGGAACATGGCACCTCCAACGAACATAATAATACTCCAGCAAAAGATCCTAATGAAAAAGAAATTCAAAACATTCCAGAAAAAGAATCCAAATTATTATTATTATTGTATTATTATTATTATTGGGACTTGTTCTGTGACCCAGGCTGGAGTGCAGTTGGTATGTAATAGCATGCTGTTGCCTTGAACTCCTGGGCTCAATCAATCCTTCCACCTCAGCCTCCTGAGTAGCTAGGACTATAAGCACACCACACCTACCCAATTAAAAAAAAGAAAAATGTAGAGACAGAGTCTTGGTATGTTGCCCAGACATGTCTTGAACTCTTGGCCTCAAGTGATCCTCTTCTGCCTCAGGCTCCCAAAGTGCTGATAATATAGGTGTGAGCCATCACACTTGGCCAGAATTAAAATTACAGATTCTAGATATGCTCAATTATATATAAGACAATCTTGAGAATTAATACAAAGAAATCAGAAAAATAACTTTAGATATGAATGAGAAATTTACCAAAAAGATAAATATCATAAAAAGAACAAAACAAAAATTCTGCAACTGAAGAATGAAATGAAGGAAAAAAAATACTTTCAAAAACTTCAATAATACACTAGATTAAGCAGAAAATGAATGTTAAAACTTGAAGACAGATCTTTTGAAATAACCCAATGAGGCAAAAATAAAGAATAAAAAAGAAAAAGCAAAGGCTTCATAACATATGGGACACCATGAAGCAACCCAATATTTGAATTATCAAAGTCCCAGAATGCAAGGAGAGAACAAAAGGGAAAGAAAACCTATTTAACAAAATAATACATGAAGCATTTCCAAGTCTAGCGAGAAATTTAGAAATCCATATACAGAAGGCTCTGAGATCCCCAGAAATGTATAAAGAGGTCCTCTCTACAGCATCTTGAAGTCAAACTGCTTAAAGTGAAAAACAAAGAGAGAATTATAAAAACAGAAAGATAAAAGCATTTAGTTACCTATAAGGAAACCCCAATCAGACTAACTGGATTTCTCAGCAGAAACCTTATAGGCCATGAGAGAATGGGAAGATATGTTGGAAAGAAGGAAAGAAAAAGAAAAAGAAAGAAAGAAAGAGGAGAGAGAGAGGGAGGGAGGGGGAGGTAGGGAAGAAAGAAAGAAAGAGAGAGAGAGAGAAAGGAAGGAAGGAAGGAAAGAAGGAAGGGAGGGAAAGGAAGGAAGGAAGGAAAGAAAAGAAAAAAGGAAAGAAAGAAAGGAAGAAAGAAAGAAAAGAAAAAAGAAAAGAAAGAAAGAAATAAAACCTGATAGCCAAGGATAATATATCCAGCAAAATTATCCTCCATAAATTAATGAGAAATAATCTTTCCCAGGGAATTCTTCATCATAAAGCAGACCTAGCAAAAATGCTTAAGGGAGTCCTACACCTGGAGGAAAACAAACAATGTTTACCATCATGGAAGCATATGAAAGTACGGTAAAGCAAACAGACAAATACCAAAGAGAATGGACTCAAATGACACCATTAAAAAAACCACCAAACCAAAGTGATAGACAATGAAAAGAAAAAAAGGAACAAAGACTATAAGAAACAACCAGAAAACAACGAGCAATATGACAGAAACCTCACATATCAATAAACTTGAATGTAAATGAATTAAATTCTCCACTTAAAAGATACAGACTGGCATTATAAAGTTATAAAACTACTGAAGAAAACACAGGGAAAGCACCTCACAACATTGATCTAAGTAAAGATTTTATGGCTAAGAGCTCAATAGCACAGATAACTGAAACAAAAATAGTCAAATAGGACTATGTTATACAAAACATCTTCTGCACAGAAAAGGAAACAATAAATAGTGAAGAGAAAACTTATTGAATGGTAGAAAATATTTGCAAACTATGCATCCAATAAGGGACTAATATCCAAACTATGCAAGGAATGCAAACAACTCAACTATTAAAAAGAACCACACAAATAATCTTATAAAAAATGGGCAAAGGACAAGCATAGGTATTTCTCAAAAGAAGATATAGTGACGACAAAGAGGTATATAAAAAATGCTCAGTATCAGTAGACATCAGGGAAATGCAAATGAAAACCACAATGAGGTATCAACTCATCCCTGTTAGAATAGCTATTATGAAAAAGACAAAAAACAAACAAACCCACGAATGCTGGTGAGGTTGTGGAGAAGAGGGAACACTTATACACTACTGGTAGGAATGTAAATTAGTACAACCACTATGGAAAACACTGTGGAGATTTCTCAAAACAAAAATTAGAACTACCATACAATCAAGCAATCCCACTATTGGGTATCCAAAGGAAAAGGAATCATTATATCAAAGGAATATCTGAACTTGGACGTTTATTGTAGCACTATTCACAATAGCAAAGATGAAATCAACCTAAGTGTCCATCAGTGAACAGACGGATAAAGAAAATGTACACACACAATGGAATACTATTAGTCCATATAAAAGAATGAAATCATTTCATTTGTAGCAACATATATTGAACTGAAAGTTATTATGTTAAGTGAAGTAATCAGGGCACAGAAGGATAAATACTACATTTGCATGCATATGTGCAAGGTAAAAAAAAAAAGATCTCTCAGAGACAATAGAATGATAGATACCACAGGTAGGGAAGGGTGTGAAGGTCAGAGGGGGAAGTGAAGAGGTGGTAGTGAATAGGTACAAACTTACAGTTAGAAGAAATGCGTTCTAATATTTGATAGCAGATCAGGGTGAGTAGCAGTAAGCAACAATATATTAACATATTACAAAATAGCTAGAAGAGAGGACTTGAAATGTTGCCAACACATAGAAATGATAAATAGCTAATATGATGGATACCCCAATTACCCTGACTTGATCATTACACAGTCTTGTATGTAAAAAATACTCACATGGACCCTATAAATATGTAAAATATTACGTATCAGTAAAAAACATATGAGGCTGGGAGCAGTGGCTCACGCCTGAAATCCCAGCACTTTGGGAGGCAGAGACAGGTGGATCACCTGAGATCAGGAGCTCAAGACCAGTCTGGCCAACATGAGGAAACCCCATCTCTACTAAAAATACAAAAATAAGCCGGGTGTGGTGACACTTGCCTGTAATCCCAGCTACTCGAGAGGCTGAGGTAGGAGAATGTCTCCAATCTGGGAGGCGGAGGTTGCAGTAAGCCAAGATCGTGCCACTGCACTCCAGTACGGAAGACAGAGTGAGACTCTGTCTTAAAAAAAAAAAAAAAAAAAAAAGTATATATATATATATATATATATATATATATATATATACACACAGACTTGTCTTGATAAAGTTTATTTTTAATAGTAAGATTTTATTAATGATTAAAAATTTAAAAACTCTCATTTAACATCTCAATAATTTAAAACCGTATTTTTAAGATGAGTAAGTTTCACGAAAATAAAACAGGATTACCTTATTTAGATCATTTATGAAAATTTTCATAAACAGTATTTTTAAAAAGATATAATTATGCCCTAATATTTATTGTACTAAACATTTTGCTAAGCATAGCCAGAGGCAGAATTTATTACCACTTCTCCATCTGTATCAGTTTCTCCATTACTACAAGCTTTATTTATATTTCATAGCAAGATACAAACGGCACAACTTAAACCACATCTGTATTTTTTACTGAATTTAATATTCAAACACATGTAGGAATATTTTAATATAACATTTTATTTATTTAGAAACTTTTTTGCAATGTTTTCTACTCCATTCCCTGAAAATCAGATTTTTATGGATTTAATTTTATACATCTTTCCTTGATTTCAATTTTTTTCTACTATTTTTATATAAAACTAAGCCAAAAACACCTTTCAAAGTAAATAGAAATGTCTTAGATATAAATAAATATAATTGAGACCGTCAAGCAAAAACCCATGAAAAAAAAATATGACAGGATTCCTAAAATAGTAACATCAATACATAAAGTCCATTTATGTCCATTAATAGCAAATACTTATTCATACAAGAATGATTTCCCACTTAGAAAAAAACACTAAAATTGCACACAAAATGCCACAGTCCAGGTAAATAAAGAACTAGTAAGTCTTGCATTATAAATCACATAAATATTTTATCATTGTGTTTGCTTATGTGTGTGTGCACACTCAAACTCAGAGAAAGAGATTGAAAGAGAGAGAGTAATGAGAGATAATGCAGGCATCATCTCTTTTACACAAGTACATCATCCTCCTACACAAGAACTGGGAAATAAACTGCATAGGCATAAGATGCAATTCAGAAATCTTAAAGACCAGATAATCAATGCCCTCCTCTACATCTGAAACAACTGGACATTATAAACATATTTGTGTACTACTCTCTCCTCTTATTACTTCTTAGGTCCACAATGAATTAATCACTCAGGTTACATTCTTTTAGCAATATCATAATGAAAGAATAGCATGTATTTAACAACGCACCAAAACCACCTCTTAAAAATTACATTTTGCCCTCTTTCAAGTTTAAAGATAGAATGGCATAAAGCCTTAGGTCATCCATGCTGCTGTCTTGCTTGGCACTAGACCTGTGTACAGGAGAGTGCTCTTTTACAATTGTTTTTAAATAGTGCAGAATATTGTCCTAAAGTCAAGCCTCACCTAAAATGTTTCAAACCTACTTTTTAAGTTAAAAAATGTCCTGTATCAGTCAAATCCGGGCAAGAATAAAAACTTACCTCAGATGACTCATATGAACATATTTTAATGGAGGGGCTATTTGAAGAAGTGTGGGCTAGAGAGGATAAGCCATCCTGAATCTAACAAAATGGCAAGCTATGACCATCGCTGGTACTGAGGAGATGAGGGTAGGAAATAGCTGTTAGAGCGCTAGCATTATGGAGGAGGAAGTGCCAATGGAAGTTAGTCCTAAGGAGATGTAGCTACTGCCAAGGATGTTGATCTGAAGCAAATAGAACAAATGCATGAAATATCCAGACCTCTCTCTTTCTTCTGACTATCTGCTATTGCCTTTCACTGGCCCAACTCAGATACTCCATCTAAGTCAGCAGGCTAGGAAATAAGGGCGTACAAGATTCAGCGGTCGTCCTTCCTTGTTTTATAGAAGAAAAGAAAGAAAAGGATCTTGGGCGGGCAAATGGATAAAAATCCAACAGAAATATCATCTTTTAAAATTGTATTCTTGTTTCACTCTAGAATCATATATTCAGCCAATTAAAGAGATCAAGAATGAAGAAGATCTTAAGCATCTATCTAAAACTATATGTCAATTTTGTCTTTTACATCTTGTCCATTGACATTAGACAGCTGACAATCATCCATTTCCTACCAGTAACCACTATTATAAGACATCTGCAAAATGGAGGTTCGTGCTCATCAGTCAGTTAATGTGAATTGGCAATGGAGAAGCTCAACAGAACACAACAGTCTCTAAATAATAATTTGGAAAAGACTGCACAAGATGATCCAATTTCACTGTTAAAGATGCTGCCCAATTCATTACTCAACTCCAGGGCACAGAAAATGACAAGCATTTTCATAGATCCAGTTCCTGACACAGTATCAACAAATATTAAAAGCCCACTAAATATTTGTAGGATTAAGTTCTGTAGTATGAAGTAGAGATATTGTTAATGAAGAAGTGAGTTGTTTAGTGAAGAGGAGAAAAACAGAAGTGGAAGGGCTAAGGGGAAATGCAGTATCAGGTTTTGCAGCCAAGAATCCTTGACAGAGGAATTGAAAATTTTATTCTAGGACAGTGTGGGTCCTAGTGGATCACAAAATAAACTTAGTGGGTTTTGAAAAGGGTTTTAAATAAAGACATACAAGAAAAAAAAGTAGTGTGAATTTTCAGCACACAATGCAAGTAGTAGGAATATGCATAGTGAAACATTTGCTTCATATTTATATGCATGAATATACTGAGTCATAATGTGAAATGCATGTCTTATTATGCCCTCATTTCAAAATCTTTGAAAACCACTGGCACATGGAAGTTAGGCACCTCCTTGATTTCAGTTAGGAACAAAAACCAGAGGCATGACAAAACCCCCACACACACACAAAATAATAATAATAATAATAATAATAATAATAATAATAATAACAGAGGAATGACAAATCATGAGAACATGAAGTTCAGGAGAGCTGAAGAAAGATAACATAAATCATAAGAGTACATAAAGGGAAGGCAATTTGCTAATAATTCACCTAAGGACAATATATGAGAAAGCAAAGCCTGTGAAGCCTGGCATTTTAAATTTTATACTGCAAAGCAGATACTTGGAAAGAAACCATTCCGAGAAAGCAAATGACAATAAGAAATAGAAATTATAGAAAATTCAACCAACTATGAAGCAAAATCAGAACATTTGTACAGATAAATCATGAATGTAGCTAAGTAAGTGGCTTTTTAGTCTAACTTTTCATTTGCTTTAATATTTGTTCATTATTTTATCTGTGTGATTTATGTAATTGCATTTTTAAGCTATAATAATTGCATTGAAAACGATTTAAAATCCACAGTTTTCTTTTTTAGCTGAAGAAAAACTTAGTCAATGTTTAAAATGCATACTTTTGCCATTGGGTAGTCATTTCTTTAAATTACAGCAATGATACCCTGATAATTTAAGAATCAAAAGAATGAGTTTGGCATATCCAACCATCTATGCACCTCTGAGCAAGTTACCTAAATTCTCTGTCACCCAATTTCCTTTCTTATAAAATGAGATTGTAATTCTTGCCATAAAGCAACATTGTGAGGGTTAAGTTAAAAATAATTGTGTTGATAAGCACTATATTCTCACATTATTATTATTATTATTATTATTATTATTATTATTATTTTAGAGATGAGGTCTTGCTATATTGCCCAGGCTGGTCTTGAACTCCTGGCCTCAAGTGATCCTCCACCTCAGCCTCCCATGTAGCTGGAACTATACGCACATGCCTCTTCACCTAGCTTATACCTCATATATTCCAAACCCTTACAAATCAGTGGCTTTGGTGATAGTGCTGATGGTGAGAATAACAATGTGATAAAGCCTTTATGCCCCACTTTTCAGATTTCCACGTGTTATGCGAGCGGAATACTTCAGTTCTCTCCATCCACCCATGGGAGCTACCTGCAACTTAGCTGATATACAAGAAGAAACTCGACTATTCAGCTCAATCTCTTCTTCCTTCCCTCTTTTGGGAGCTAACCTTCCTCCAAAAGATCGTTCTCATCTTCCCCATGCTATAAACATCCAGGACCAGGCCCCATGGAAGAGGCTGTGATTGTCATCCTGTCCCACTGAATAGTGGTAATTATGTTTAAGTAGGGGTGAGAATAATTAACCTCTTTTGACTGAATATTTAAAGCTACTCAATTTATCTTAAATGAACCTGGTATTATTTTGACTTGTGACTTGATTCTCAATCTGCTTTGAACTCAGAAGGAAAAGATAGGGAGGTTTATTAGCCTCCTGCATTCTAAAGTCATGGTGACTAATACTTCTATACTTGTTTTATTACATGTTGCATGCTTTTTATGGTGAACAAACAGAATGACCTTCCCTTATTAGAGACATTGTCTCAAGAGAGATGAAATCAGTCTTATCTTCAGCTACAGGACATATTTCACAATTATATGGTTTTACATATATGCTATAACTTAAAGGCTATCCATCTCTGTTTACAGGAACAATATACTATTTTTTTCAAAAAGTTTTGCCCCCAAATTCCTGTTACCTCTTACATTGGAAAATACGTTGGTAATGTATTTTTATACATGACATACTAGAAATTTTATCTAAATCCATTAAATTTACTATCCATTGTAATTTTATTTATAGATTTATGTTTATAGATAGTATTGTTTTTGTGTATTTGTATAAAAGTATCTGGACAAAATTTTAAAAGAATAATGCATATCAACAGCAATTTATTTATATTATCAGGAATAAATATTTTATAGATCTAAATATATCTTCCTAAAAACAAAAACATCCATAAATTATTTTATCTCCCATTCTTTTACCTCATGTTTTAAACTGGAAATAGAAATTGGCAATATTAGCTATCACTAGTTCAATTGTTGAAAATGAAATTTTTTATTGAGTCAGTAAAAAGTTTATTATCACAATATTCAAAATCAAAATGTGGTGTTTCATTACAGCTGATAGTTCTGAAAGCTGGTTGTTGTTATTTCTTTCAAAAAAGCCTAGTAACAGAATCAACAGGAAGGTGGGGGATTGCATGACTAAAAATTCCTGTATGTTTGGGAATAGCACTCTTTGGCAAGTTTATTGGGTGACAGCTGATATACTGTAGGAAAAGACTCTCTGTGTGAAAATGCTATTTTGTTGCATCTTAATTTTCTTTCCTTGGATACAGTACAGCTCCAAGACTTGAATGGCTTGCTATTTAACAGTAAGTGCTGATGCTGAAAATTCAATATATTACTTTGGTGTAAATGATCGTATAGTAATCACTACTGATATCACCAACTTCCTTCTGAACAGATGCTAGGAAATGAATTTCCTCAATTAAGATAGTAGAATGTTGAAATGCTCACTAAAAGTTAACATTCCAGATGTTCCAAGACTTTTAATTCCAGATTTTTTTTCATATAGATAGAGCTTCCTTATGTTTCCCTGATGAATCAATGATGTTGATATGCTTCTGGATTCTGTGTAAATATACTTCATTTTGAGGGCTATGAAAATGTATATTTTCCATGTAATTCTCTTATCTTGATGGATTTATTTCAACTATGCTAGTTTTGAAGTTATTGTCTTCCCTGGAGTTGGATTATTTGTCTTTACAAGACTTACAATGCATAAAACGAGGTATCTCCTGAGGAATTTAAGTGATATTTTCCTGAAGCTCATTTTCCTTAAGGTGAGGCTGAATGCCAAGTCAGAGAAGGAGAAGAATCTGAGTTCCATTGCCATATCTTTTGTGTGGTTGTATTTCTTTATGTATACATATTAATAAACGTAAATATGAAATGTACTAAATTCTGTGATGTTTACAGTAAATGAGAATCTCACTACTAGTATTTTCATAATTAGGAAATGTATGTACAAATTTGGGATGATGGAAGTAACAAATATCTCAGGCATACATAAATGCTGAGAGCTAAGCTGTATGACTTTTATATTTTTCCTTCCAGGGAAGCATGAGGCATGAGATGGAATGGAGATTGGCTGCAAATTTCATGTTATATCTGTTCTGTTCTATGCAGAAATAGATAGAACATTCTATGGTTCTATAAATACTTTCAATATTTCAAAAATGGGTAAGAATGAGTAAGAAAGAAACTTTGTGTGATGTCAATGAACCTGTATAAGGTGCAGATTTGTCACACCAAGACAATTACTAGAGAAAAGGTGTCTTTGCTGCTCTAAAAAGGTAGACTTGAGATTGACAAATGGCTCCATGTGCAAAAAGGAAGTAAATTCTCTTTGGAGAAGAAATTCTTCATGTGACTGTAAAGTGGTGCTAAAATATATTGGGCATGGGAAAGTAACTGGACAATTTATACTTATCAATCTACCAATCATTTTAAATTGACATTCAACAAGTACATTTTAATTTTTAAAAGCTTTATCTACTAGTATTGTACCAGAAATTCTAGTATCATTGCTACCTTCATTATCATAAACATTTCTTAAGATGCTTAAGATTATGCCTCCTAACATATGGTCAATAATTTAAGGCATTTGTATAACACCTTGGAATGCTAACATGTGTGATTGCTTACTCATGCAGTTCCTTTAAATCTATTAGACACACAGTAAAGGTACTTTAACGAATTCAAAGACAGAATTAGAAAAATCAGTGTACAGTGTAAATTACTGAACACTCACAGGAGCCACTGATCTTGGGTTAGTGGCCATAAAGTGACCTTGACAGAGCCATTTATGGCCATGGTTAAGGTGCATAATTTAACCTCAAGTGACATCAGTGTCTCCATAAGCAATCCCTCATTCTCTTGTTGAGATTTTTTTTTAGTTGGCATGCTGTCAGACAAGTTCAAAGGACACATTAGAGAGGTTCTGTAGTTACAATTTTTTCAGTTTAAATTCAGTTAAACATTATCTGTACAATCAAAGAAAGCCACTCCTTAGACCAAGAGCTAAACTGTTGATCAGAATTCTGAAATTATACTAAAAAGTTTGCACTGGAGAATAATGATGTAACCTCCATCAGTGACACTGTATTTATTTGATGATAATGACTAAGGCAAAATTTGTAAGATTGCATAAATATTTTCCAATTCATTTTTATTTACAACTAAGCATAAGCATACATAGCAGAACACTTTGTTCCATTTTTTACTTTCAAGAAATTATATAAAACTAATTGTTTTTAAAGGGTGGGTTAGGAGAACTTTTCAGTTAAAAACTACATTGAAAAGGCAGACTGGGAGCTACACAGGTCAGAAGCATCACAATAAGGACAATTTATCTGGGGACAATGGCTTTAGTGTCAATGCACCACTGACACATTGAACACTGGAATCACAAAACATTTTTGGATCTTCCACCTAATCTTTTTTCTATAATCTTGTCATGATAATTTTTTAGTTTCCCAGTTTGGACATTTAGAACTTTTCACTGAGTGCACTGAACATAAATTCAAAACTAATAAGTACCATACAGATGTGTTTTTATTAGGTTAGTGCAAAAGTAATTGTTGGTTTTTTGCAATCATTTTCAATGGCCAAAACTGCAATTACATTTGCCCAAACCTAACATAAGCTCATGGATTATCCTATGACTCACATCTATCTTCCCTTACTCCACTCACTGTAGCTTCAAGCCAAGTACAATTTTCCACCTGGATATCATTACATACTTGAAATAGAACTATGAAGATTGCATGATTATCATAGCCTAATGTGTCAAGTGCATTACACATGTTCTCAAAATGTTGCCATGACTTGCAACTGCCATTAATAAAGTTAAACAAAATAAACGGGTAAAACAGTTTAGTATTCCTACTAATCATTTTACCACACTTCAACTCACAACACACATTATCTCTGTGTATATTCTATTGTCTTCTCCATTCACATTCTGTCTTGGGGAGCTCTGTTCCTGTAATATGGTTTCTTTGTATATTCTGAATCATATGCCTTAGAACTTACTCTTTTTGTTATATTTGTAAACATTTTAAATATATTAATTATACTTACTCAAAGTTAAAATAACTCAGAGTTAAAAAAATACCTGTTCATATTTGGCCCAAATTAGAGAATTCCCCAAAATGTTATGTAATTTATTTATAATGAAATCTTATATTTATCTAGTGTTTTCAAATCACTTTCTTATATATTAGGTAACTGGAGATTTATAATGACCCAGTGAAAAGTAGAGAAGCAATTATCATTTCTGTTTTAAATATGAAGAAATTCTGTCTTAAATGATGCCATCCAAGACTTTATACATTCTAACCCCAAACGATCTTGTGTGAGTTTTCAAAAACTTACAAGACTTGTAAAAATTATAGTTAGTCCTTGATAAGCACTAGAAAAATAAGGATTGGAATGGCCAGCATTTTTGAAATTTCCCCCATCTCTGCTTGTTACATGCAGTGATATACATGCTGACTCAGAACCATCTAAACTGAAAAAGGTAAATTGAAATTTAGGAAAATCGCTATATTTTTTTAAATTGTGTAAGACTTTATATTGCTAGCATTTTGACATAGCTGCTCCCTTCAGCCACAGACTGAAAAAGCAGGCTACTAGAACAATTAAGTATAGCTCTCTGAAACAAAGTTGTAAAAATATAAAAAATGAAGATCTCTTTTCATATTCATGAAATTCATTTTTCTGCGGGAAAATAAAAAGCACATGACCCACCCATGCTCTAGAAATCAAAACAATTTGCTGACACTGTTGGAGAGAGATAGTGCCACGACCTCTCTGCCTACTTAGAAGATACAAGTGCAGCTTGAGAGAGAACAAATTTAAAGGCTGACTCAGAAAGAGTGAGGGGAAGGGCATGGGCCCCAGGCAAATAAACCTAAACAAGATATCACAGTTAACTTTGCAGCTAGCAGAGAGAAGAGAAAGCTGTAAGTAACTTAAAGAAGACCTATGACAAGTTTCTAGACTGAAAAAAAGAGACCAGAAAAGGAAACAGATGGTGATACAAACATGACAAGTGAATAAACAAGACATCAGGACAATGTTGCCACAAAATCAAGGTCTGTCAAATAGTAACAGAGAAATATTCTGGCAGAGGGAGGCTCCACAGGCATCTCAGAGTGCCACAAGGCATAACACTGAGAAATATGCTTCAGTAGTATGTCATTGTTTCCAGAAGCACCTGCCAAGGTCTGGGACTGTCTTGGTTTTTTCTACAGTCTGATAACTCAGTCAATAGGGATGTGTGTGAATGTGTGTGTCTCTGTGTGTATGCCTGCATAGAAATGTGCGTGTGTCTACATATACACATATATATACATATACATACATATATACATATATGTATAGATAGATATACATATGTATGCATACATATATACGTATGTATGCATGCATACATATATACGTATGTATGCATGCATACATATATACGTATGTATGCATGCATACATATATACGTATGTATGTATGTATACGTATGTGTATATACACATGCGTATGTATGTATGCATAATATATATGAATATATACACATACATACGTATGTATACATATATATGTATATATACACATACATACGTATGTAGACATATTTATGTATATATACACATACATACTTATGTATACATATATATGTATATATACACATACATACTTATGTATACATACATATGTGTATATACACATACATACTTATGTATACATACATATGTGTATATACACATGCATACTTATGTATACATACATATGTGTATATACACATGCATATGTATGTATACATACATATGTGTATATACACATGCATATGTATGTATACATACGCATGTGTATATACACATGCATATGTATGTATACATATGCATGTGTATATACACATACATATGTGTATATATGTATATATACACATACATATGTGTGCATACATATATATGTATACACATACATATGTATGTGTATACATATATATGTATATATACGCATACATATGTATGTGTATACATATATAGACATACATATGTATGTATACACACATACATATATACATACATGTATGTATACATATATGTATGTATACACATATACGTGTGTATGTATGCATACATATATGTATATATACACATATGTGTATATATGTATACATATGTATATACACATACGTGTGTATGTATGTATACATATGTGTATATACACATACGTTTGTATGTATACATATATATGTATACATATGTGTATATATACACATACGTATGTATGTATACATATATATGTATACATATACGTGTAAATATACTCATACGTATGTATGTATACATATATATGTATACATATACGTGTATATATACACATATGTATGTATACATATATATGTATACATATACGTGTATATATACACATACGTATGTGTATGTATACATATACGTGTATATATACACATACGTATGTGTATGTATACATATGTGTATATATACATATGTGTATATATACACATATGTATGTATGTATACATGTGTATATATACACATATGTATGTATGTATACATGTGTATATATACACATATGTATGTATACATGTGTATATATACACGTATGTATGTATGTATACATGTGTGTATATACACGTATGTATGTATGCATACATGTGTATATACACGTATGTATGTATGCATATATGTGTATATGTACACATATGTATGTATACATATATGTGTATATATACACATATGTATGTATACATATATAGACAGAGAGAGAGGTAGACAGACAGAGAGAGAGAATGTAACCACTGGCATTTACTAAGTATTTTTAAGTGCCAATCATGTATTTCAATGCTCAGAAAGATCCTATGAGGTCAGCACTATAATTATCTCATTTTCTTCTTATTCAATTTTAGATTATGAAGCTGAGACACAAATAAGTTAACTTTGCCCATAGCTACAGCTAGTAAGCAAAGGAGCAAGAATTTGAATGCAAGAAGTCTAGCTATAGATCTCATACGTATTGAGATCATCCTGGCCAACATGGTGAAACCCCATCTCTACTGAAAATACAAAAATTAGCTGGGCGTGGTGGTGTGCGTCTGTATTCCCAGCTATTCGGGGAGGCTGAGGCAGGAGAATCACTTGAACCCGGGAGGCACAGGCTGCAGTGAGCCGAGATTGCACCACTGCACTCCAGCCTGGCAACAGAGCAAGACTCCTTGTCAAAAAAAAACAAAAACAAAAAAACAGACACTCTTTATGTTCAAAGCATAGCACACCAGTATATGTAATTATTTTCCAGCATATGTAATTCTGATTCTTGTGAACCAATGTTATTGACTTGGTTTTTCTGTGCACCATCAACTAGCACACTTAAAAGACATCATAGGGGGTAAACTGATAAACATCTCATGATTCACTGACAAAATTGAAGACAAAACATTTTTTTCTCTTTGATTTCATGAGACACAGTTGTAGTGCTTCATTAGGTCATCTCAAACACCTTCAGCCAGTACATCTTTTTTTACTTCTCCAGGATACTAACCATTACAGCCACTGTCAGAGCCACAGTGAGCACTCAGGAAACAAATCACAGAACACCACCAATCTCCCTTCCCTCCCTCTTCACCTATACACAGAGAAAAGGCCACAAGGGGTTAATCAGTCTAGTGTTTAAAAAATGAGACCAGGTAAATTCTCCATTCTCTGCACACCCCTATATTCTTGGCCACTGAACAAAGTTAAACTCCACCAATCTTTCTGGCTTCTCCACATACCAAGCTATGTGACCCAGACCCAAAACACAAAAAGTATCTGTGCCTTAAACACGTTTTAAAATGCAAACAAATAATATCTCATTTGATTTTTTTAAGGTCTGAGTTAAGTCGCTTAGAATAGCACCTTATGCATAGCAAACATTCCATAGTTATTGGTTTTCATCATCATCATCATCATCATCATCATCATCATCATCTGTTGTGGGAAGTCAGGGACCCCGAACGGAGGAACCAGCTGAAGCCGTGGCAGAAGAATATAAATTGTGAAGATTTCATGAACATTTATTAGTTCCCCAAATTAATACTTTTATAATTTCTTACACCTTTCTTTACTGCAATCTCTGAACATAAATTGTGAAGATTTCATGGACACTTATCACTTCCCCAATCAATACCCTTGTGGTTTCCTATGCCTGTCCTTACTTTAATCTCTTAATCCTGTCATCTTTGTTAGCTGAGGAGGATGTATGTCACCTCAGGACCCTGTGATGGTTGCGTTAACTGCACAAATTGTAGAGCATGTGTGTTTGAACAATATGAAATCTGGGCACCTTGATAAAAGAACAGGATAACAGCAATGTTCAGGGAACAAGGGAGATAACCTTAAACTCTTGACTGCCGGTGAGCCAGGTGGAACAGAGCCATATTTCTCTTCTTTCAAAAGTAAATGGGAGAAATATTGCTGAATTCTTTTTCTCAGCAAGGAACAACCCTGAGAAAGAGAATGCGTCCCTGAGGGGAGGTCTCTAAAATGGCTGCTTTGGGGGTGGCTGTCTTTTACGGTCATAGCTGTGGGACGAAATAAGCCCCGGTCTCCCGTAGTGCTCCCAGGCTCATTAGGACGAGGAAATTCCTGCCTAATAATTTTTGGTCAGACTGGTTGTCTGCTCTCAAACCCTGTCTCCTGATAAGATGTTATCAATGACAATGTGTGCCTGAAACTTCATTAGCAATTCTAATTTTGCCCCAGTCCTATGGTCCTGTGATCTCACCCTGCCTCCATTTACCTTGTGATATCTTATTACCTTGTGAGACATGTGATCTCTGTGACCAACACCCTATTCATACACTCCCTCCCCTTTTGAAAATCACTAATAAAAACTTGCTGGTTTTACTGCTCAGGGAGCATCATGGAACCTGCTGACATGTGATGTTTCCCCGGACACCCAGCTTTAAAATTTTCTCTCTTTTGTACTCTGTCCCTTTATTTCTCAGACTGGCCAACACTTAGGGAAAATAGAAAAGAACCTACATGAAATATCAGGGGTGAATTTTGCCCTATAATCATCATTATTATAATTCACTTTTATCCCCTATTCTCAATCATAAAGTTCTGATTGACCTAGTCTCTAATCCAGCAACTGATTTCTCTATTGACATCAAAACCATTTCCCTCTGTTCTCTGTACTCCCATTCTATCGTTTAACAGAAGACACACAGAACAATATCCCTTCTATTCTTAATTTCTTTGTGGACACAATTTCCATTTTCTTAACTGAAGCCTGGCTTCTTTGCAGTCCAGTTAGTACATGCTGTTTCTGCATATCCTGTATCTGTCAGGGTCAAGAAGAAGAGGAGTAGGTTCCCCTCTCCTCATCAATGTTGCTTCCATATAATTACTTTCCTGTTTTGGGGATAAAAATGCCCACACCCTTGAAGAGAAAGCCATTTGGCCACCCTTCATGCTGTTGTCTGTAAGCTGCCTGGATGTAATTTCATTCATTTGTGATTGTAAAATTTGGTTTATTCTAACAAACTATTCATTGATATAATAATTTTCCTCTCACCAACAGTGATATTTCTCTGTATTCCACTTCAGTGATCCATTGTAATCATCACACCCTTGAATTTGCATCACTCGGAATTGTTTCACTTCTTAAATATTTACTTTTGAACACCATGAGCCTTGTTTACAGAATTGTGCCAACTCTGTCTTAAATATTCTTACTTTACAGAACCTGATCTTACATAAAATACTCTATTTCACCTAATGTCTTATTTTTTGCTGTAGCCCTCCTGTCTTCTGTCTTTATTCTCTGCTCTGTTGAGCTTTGACCCTTTGATCTATAACTCAATCTGTGCCCTTGACAATGCCTTCAGTTCTCTGGGCTCCTCATTCCTACATCAAACAAGCCTGACATAAACCCACTCTGAGTCAATCCAAATCTCTGTTGCTTAGTATCCATACTTAGATTGCTGTGGTCAGTGAGAGGGACAGACAATGCTGCAGAACAATGCACTTCAGTATCAATGGTGCCACTACAACCTCAACTGGTGTCACTTCAACAACGTCTGTTCTTCAAATGTTTTTGTGTTTGCCTAGTTTCTTCTATTGTCCACAATGTTTAAACATTTTACACATCTTTCCCGGTTTCCAGCCCAGTTTCTCTGCCTTCACAATCAGCAGATAACATTGCCTTCTACTTCACAGGGAGTTATTGGATGAGATTGTTAAGAATAGAAAATATTGATTTAGGTTAAAAATATAAGGGCATACTCTTAGTTACCACATCACTTGCCCCCTGTATTTACAACACAAGTAAATCAAGTCTGGTAGCTCTTAATAAAGTCAGAGAAGAAATTAAATGGAACAACACACACATTTCAGCCAGATTTCTTTTGGCATTAACAGGCAGTAAAATGATCCACCACACACTGCCAAGCTGCAGAATTTTGTAGACCAGTTCTGAAATGTAGTATGTAGTTTGTGGTAACCATCTGCTGAAATCTCTTTACTTCCTGTCATTCGGCTCACATGAAATTAAAATATCGATAGAAACAATTTCTGCAGGGAAATTGGAAAAGTTAATAGGTAAGTCAATTAAGAGTTTCATGAGATTATATAGTCTTGTTTCTTGATACTTCTACTATTCTTAATTATATAACAAGACTAAGAATAGAATATAAAATGCAATAGAAAGTAGACTCTGCCAAGTACAAGCAAAATATGTACTTATGGGTTAAGTTATGGGTTAGGTAGAATGCAATACGATATTAGATTCACAACAAAGTTAAGTCTGCATTCACTGGCAGCCATATTCATAGAAAATTTCTAATAACAAAGTAAATCTTAGCTCTACAATAAGATATTAAATATGCTTAAATGCTTCTGTTAGAAATTCTTGGCTCCCTGCCTCTGTGCTCCTAAATTCTAGCTAGGTATATGTTTTTCCTTTTCAACGGACTCAAGGCTTGGTTCTGATTTCATTTAGAAAAATAAATAATTAAGAATCTTCTGTTTCAGAAAACATTTCATCACTATCAAGACTAGTCGATGAAATGTAAAGTTTAGAATTTGTGTTTAATATCTTGTCCCTTCTCGCCAAATATTTCCCTGTACTTTTCAGGCCCTTGCTTGGCTTCACAGCTCTCTGTGATGATCCCCAGGGCTCAGAAAGTACTCACCTTAAAACCCCCTATTAATGTATTTTCTGTTTGAGCTAATCTGCACCATACAACCTGCTTCTCCACCTGGGCTTATAGTACCTATTCTCTTGTCCTTAATCTAGTAATCTGTCTCTTTCTACTCATATTGAGACAAGTAGCAAAAACTGCCCAATTCTAAGAAAGATTTATTTTAAAAAAATCATGAGCCCTGAACCTTTTGGAGCAGTTACAAATAAGAGTGTTAAATATTTTTCTAATGTATATTTTTAAAGCAACATAGGAAAAAATTGCATCTAATTGGTGCAGGGGGAATTTTACACTCAACTAACCAATTATTAACTATCACAATTATGTATGACTGCAATAATGTGGTGAAATAAAGTGAAATATTTCAGAAGCAATAAACATATTGATCCTTAGATCAATAAAAACATGACTAGCTTATAGGGATGGGTTTTATAGCACAAGCACAAAAGTCCACATTTGTAACATTTCAACAAAAAGCAGAATGCCTCCATTAACAAAACTCGAAATTCAGTTACAGATAAATTATTCTAAGCATTTTAACAAATTTCCTGCATGAAAATGATCAATTTTTCTTCCTATACATAAATTTATTTTTGATAGACATTATGTACATTTGAGAACAAATTTTAAGATTAAAGGCTTAATCTTCATGAGGTAAAGAGTAGAAGAATTCCAATGAGGTATCTCGTTCAGGGTAAGATGAAATGAGCACACTCTGCAATGTTTTACCCACTGAGTGCATGAAGCAGTTATTTGAAGACACTAAAAAGTAAAGAGCATCATGCAGACTGGGGAGTAGAAATCAGAATTTATAATACAATTGAAGTAGTGTTCAGTTTATCACTTTCTTCCCTGCCTTTTTTCCCTGGCCCAGACTGAAGTTAGTCCACAGCTTAGAAGTGAGACTTGTATGGATAAAGAGAAACTTGAGAGAAATTTTCCTTATGAGATCCCAAGAAAGTGAGCATTATATATCCTATGTTGCAACAATAGCTTTACAATAAACTTTCATTCGTTGATTAAGCCAACAATTATTCACTGAGTGCTTACTATTGCCAGGGATTTTTCTTATCTCTAATGATAGTCAATGAATAAAACATCCAATAAAAAAATGGATTGTACATTCTAGTAGGGGAGAATGTAATAGATAATAAACAACAGCAATAATTAAGCTTCTTGTAAGGTGGTTTAGAAGGTGATGAGTGTGAAAGAAGGAAAGAAGGGAAGAAAGAAAAAGAAAGAAAGAAAAGAGAAAGAAGGAAGAGAGAGAGAGAAAGAAAGAAAGAGAAAAAAAGAGATGGAGGAAGGAAGGAAGGAAGGAAAGAGACAGTACTACAGGGCAAGGGGAATGAGGAGTGCTGGCAAGGGGAGCAAGATGTTTTAAGTAGGGTTGTTGGAAAGGCCTCATTTGAAAGAATGACATTTGAACAAAGATTTGAAAAGGCTGAAGTGCTGAAATGGAGACTTGTGGGGAGGCTTTCACACTGAGGGTTCGCTCAAAGACCCTAAGGAGAGAGCAAGCCTGACTTGCGCATGGGTACAGTGAAAAGGTTAGAGTGACCAGAGGGAAAAAAGGGAAGACCACGGCACATGAGGTCAAAGAGAAGTTGCTGGGTGGGCAAAATCATACAGGGCCTTGAAGGCCATTATAAATTCTATAGCTTTCACTCAGCATGAAGCAGAGAGCCAGTGCTGGACTTTAAGAACAGGACTGACATGATCTGGATTACAGTTTAAACGGGATCATTCTGGCAGCTGTGTTTAAAATAGACTATGTAGGTACCATATAATAAATACAATAGCATATTTTATGTGGAGATATATATATATACACATATAATAGAGAACCAACCAGAACCTGTGTTCCATGAAAAATACTCTAGGAAAGGTAATGCATGAATGAATTGATGCTCTAAAGGCAAGTATATCTTACAGGCAATCTTCAATAAACACTATTTCTCACAAGTAAGCTTTGATAGAAATTGGGCAGCTGAGTGGGTTTATAATCTCTGGCAGAAGTTGAATGGCAGTTCTATTGTGTTGCTAATCAAAAGTATAATGATATGCTTTGAAAGTTCATGGTTAGGTTCTAAAAAGCTGGTCTCCCTAGGCTCCTGCTTCAGTAGAAAGAAACATGACTTCTCTTGATCAGCTTGTGATGAAGCAATAACTGTGGGCACAACCAATAATATTCTCAAAAACTTGCTGCTCTAACACACGAACAAAATAGTATGTGTGGCCTGTAGATCTGTGCTCCATTTCAGTAGTTCCCAATCTATGGGCTGCACACTCTAAGTGATTGTATTTTTTATGTGTGGGAGGGGTCAAAGTTTTGCAAAGTTATTTTTTTTAATACTAAATTTGGATGTGACCTTTCAACTAATACAAAGTACAACTATTACACTGTAGAAGATCCACTAACTTTTTCAACATTAAACTTGTAAAATTTGGGGAGTTCTTTTTATAGTTAGAAGATGCTTACAATCAATAAATTAGGATAAATAAATCTGGAGGATAACTGTCAAAAATGATCATTTTCATTATCAATTTTCATCTTCGCTTTCTGACAAAAATTATATAGTCATGACTACAGTCTAGGCCAGGCCACTCCTAGGGGTGACAATAAAATATCATGTGAATTTTATACAAATCAGATTTAGAACCTTTGTTCCATCAACTATCAATGTGGGATTTCGGCTCTGGAAGCTCAGATTTTCAGTTAATAAAAAGGGAAACACATTTACATTTTATGTGATAGTAAATGTGTGAATAGGTCTTTGTTGGTGAGCATGTATGATTAAAAGGAAATGAGTCTCAATGCTAAATATTTGTGCTGGCCATTCTGTTTTTATTTCTCACACTGACAGCAGCAGACTTATTCACTACCAAACACCACATAAGCTGGTTGCTATTTAATAGTGAAATAAAACATGGCAGTAAACATGATTGCAGGGAGTAAGGGTACCATCACAAATATATGCAAAGCAAATAATATTCCAATATCAGTTTTGTTACCTGAGGCTATGTTCTAAACATGAGATAAACTCCTGGTTTAATGTAATTATAAATTATGGTATTTAATGATATGGAATATGATATGAAAACATGAGCAATTACATTTTAGCAGTCTAAGAAAATATCTGAGGATCCAGAAATTTCAGAATGAGGGAAATGCTACTGTTTTAAGAACTAACTCACTTTACAAAAGCTGAAATATTGCTCTAATATAACAATCTCTAAAGTATGTTGAGATGAAATTAGATAACTTCCTGAACAAGGACTACTTGGCCAAATAAATATGCAAACATTGGATTGAAAAAGTTTAGCTTCTTCACTGCAGCACTCCTCAGAGTCTTTAAATGGTAATTAGGGATGTGACTCTATGAAAGGGGAACACTGAAGAAAGCATTTTGTAAACTTAATTGAGTACAGGGGCCCTCTCACTCTTTCTTTTCCAATAGAACACTCTGTGAAATAAGTGTTCCAAATAATATTTTGGGAAATGATGTCCTAACCCAATCTAAATTAAGGAAAGTTCCCTAATACAGTCTAATTGGGACACATAGCCGGCAGGATTTTACAAGGGTTTCTCCTCATCCCTCACATTTTGATGTGCAATCATGTACGTGGGCCTGATAAATCCAAGTGAAAGGTTTCTTCTCGATAACTAAAGGAGATAACTTCTGTGATCTATAAATTAGAATAATTTCTTACCAAATATTAAAAATTAAGCTGAGGAAAATATTGTTTCTTCCTTTACACCTAAAGTTTAAAGGAGCTTTTCCATAACAAAAAGACAACTTTTAAGATTCTCATCTTGTTCCCAAAGGAATGACCAGTTTTAATTCTGTTTTCCAGTTGACTTTATGAAGGGTAATGTCATCTAAAGACATGTACTTCTTTTCCTCTGAATATATCACAGTACAAAATATCGGACCTCCTTGCACTGCGGCTCGTTACCACAAGTTCACTTACAGAAAAAAATCGAGCATGAAGCCAAGATTTATCACTTACAGTTTGTTGTATCAATTGGTGCTACAGAGGAGTAATGCTGCTTTTTAGGAGCCCACACATATATATGTTGTAGAAGAATTTCTGGCTAATGAAAAAATTCAGTTAAACATTTTTAGCCTGTTCACATTGTAAGAGGCTATGTTCATCAATCAATATTTATTGAGAATGACGGCACAAGCAATCGCATCAGGCAGCATGGGGCTTATAAAGTATAATCCAGCTTTGATTTCTGACTTCAGGGAGCTGAATTTCATTAGGGAGAGAAGAGAGACACATTTGCAAATAGCATATTCACTGTCAACTTATATGTCTCCCCAGCATATTAGATGTCCACTAGTGTATTTACACATCGAATTTTTAATTTATGAAAGCAAATTGACTATTTCTAAAAAATAAGCTTTTTTCTCCTTGAAATTAAAAGCCTGTTATTGCTTGTGATTTGATTTTTGAATTATTTTAAAGTAACACTTGATGAACTTAATTAGCTAATGTGATTTACAGATACTGAGTTATCTAAAAAAATAAATTGAGGAATCATTGTCTTGGTCTAGATTTCAAGTGATTCTGACATTTGAGTTGTAACATAAATAACAGATGAATGAGCCAAACAGCAGTGGCAGAAATGTGCTTCAAAGGAAAAGCACTTAAACAGATTTCCACACAGGTGTTTAGGCAAAAATACAGTCTACCAACAGGATAAAAGATACTTTAGTCAAATATCTGTACATTTTGTTCTACACATGGGTAAACATCTGTATACCCAGAAATATTTAGATATTTTAATGTTTCACTTTATATTTCAGTATACTTGTATATTCATGAATATTCATGTATGTTGCACAGAATTTGTTAATCTTTGCACTTGGGTGAATGTAAACGAAGTTCTGTTGCTTTTTGGAAAAGAGGAGTTTGATGTTGGCTTTCTAGGGCTGAGATGTAAAAATTAAAAGGGAAATGCTAAATTCCAGTGACAAGAGTCCAGAGAGTTTCCACTCTGCTCTGGGAGGGCTTATGGTTTGCCATGTGCCAGGGGCCAATTTCAGGGCACTTGAAACATCTGCTCCCCCTACTTACAAATCAATCATAGCCTTTATGGGTCTGGAAGCTTCAAAGTCTTGGAAAGAGGCAAGAGGACCCAGTCTAGACTGCTGTGGGTATGGTCAACCGCTAGGACTGGGAAGGAGACCAGATATTAGGCATCCTGCTCATTCCTGATCTCTAAGTATTTACCAGATGACAAAAGTCAAGTTGGGTTTGGAGAAACGTGTAGTTTTCGGGTTAACATTATTCCCTACAGTTTCTTCTTTTTATCTCTGAAAACTGCATGATCAGTGGAGGCAAATGGGGATTAAAAAGCAAGAGAGGGTAGATATTTTCCAGATTGGTTGAGGGTCAGGTAGTGAAAAATCTGATATTCTAAGAAGAGTCACTCTGGTTACCAATATATGTTAGTATTTATTTTGTTATAATATTGTACAGTTATTTTTAATTTCCAAAGAATCATAAATAAATAATATATATAATGTATAAATATGGAGATTCTGGACTATGGTAAAGTTGTCCTACTTTAGAGGATAAGTTAAGGCATTTTCTTGCAGAGGAGAGTAGAGAGCAATGGGAGTACTGATATTTTGATGAATAATGTTTAGAAAGTCACTTAAATTGGAAGGAGACGTTTGAGTGACTGCAATAAGTTAATTTAAAATATAATAGACATTCCACAGTCAAGTTTCCTCACCTTTGTGTATATTCTTTATAATGAGCTACATTTCCTGATTTTACTACTTAGATAAGAAGTTTAGGGTCAATCAGCAATAGACAGAAAAGCCTCCTATTATTCATAGTGTACCTCCTCTCATTCTTGCTCCTGCAGACCAACTGTTATGATTGATATCAGGGGAAAATAAATCTCTGGATGCAATACATTCTAACTGTACTATAATTGACATAGAATTTGTTTTACGCTTAAAATGAAATCTGAAAATGAGAATTACACTGAAAGGTAATGAATTACAGTTTGGTAGTAAAATTATCTCATCGTAAGATAAAACATTCATTTAAGAAGATAACTGTAAGAAAATGTACTTTTCTATTACAACTATCTTCGGGTAGTTTGAGGCAAAATGATCTGTACTTTTCAATATAGATCATATAATTTTCTAATATGAAATAAATTTAGCATTTTAATGCAATTTTAGTTATGCATTTTAATATTTCTTTCTCCCATACTATGACTGTGATGCTTCTAGTGTAAGTCTCCCTCATCTTTGATCCATGAATGTGAATTCCCTGGACCTCTGTTGTCCAGGGGACATGATAATTTGCATGTGCATTTTTCTGGGCAGAGAATCCAGAGGTTTCTTCTCATTTTGAAAGTGATCTCTAAGTGATCAGTGATCTACTTGACCACGGAAAATACAAATTACACAATATCTTAAGAAGCCAAAATCCAGCAGCCCAATTCTTCATGCTGTCACTAGTCACATGGCATTCCACAGCACCCCAAAACTATTCTAACTTCTAACTGTAACTTTATTGTTGTTATTATTATTTTTTGGAATACGGGTTTTGAGAGTCTTAAGCTTCCATAAAACCACTAGGATCAGGTTAGCTTCCTGGCTCAGACATTTCTTTTTATTTTCCTTCTTTTTTTCTGCCTCTCCCTATCATGCACTTAGAGAAAACCTCTCCTTAAACAGTACAATAGTCAGAAATGCTCATTCATTCATATATTTATAATCCTAAAAATGAGCCTAATTTAAACTAAAAACATTCAGTCGATTTATTTTAAAATTCCTAATTATGTTTAATAAATGAATGGGATAGTTTTATACACTGAGATCTACAAAAATTATGTATATTTTTAACTGAGATAAATTTAAAAAAATAGAATTATGGTAGTTTCCTTTATAATTTTAAAATTATCTTGTTCATTTAAAGTCATACAAATATAACAAGACACATGAAATTACAATTGTGTGCCATGTTTAAATGATTAGATTGGAGTAGGATTTCTTTCCACTATGTTTACAAAAAAAAAAAAAAAAAAGGATAAATGAGCCCACTGAAATTTCAGACTTAAAAGAAATAAAACAAAGTAAAAAAGTGAAATACTTTATAACAGTAAATCATAGTATATCTGTGAAATTTGAGAGAAAAGACAGTCATTTATTTGAAAGTGCTTGGAAATGTAAGCCATTTTACAAGCTGTATGCTGTGAAGATAGATGATAGATAGATAGACAGATAGATAGACAGATGGATAGATTGATAGATTGATATAGATATAGATAGATATGAATGAAAATAAGAAGCAGCAGGGTGGGCTGTAGCTGAAAGGAGAGTTATAAAGGGTCAGTGGGGAAAGGAGAGGGCAAGAGCTATTATAGCAAACCCAGATTCAGAGGAGTCCCAAACCAGGAGTGAGTAGAAGCTCTGAAGTCAAGAAAGCAGAGTGGAGGTAAGCAAGTCGGTTGGGAAGAGGCTGAAAGTGAATAAGCACACAGAGAGAGGTGGATTATTTTAATGTTGAAGTTATTTATTAGATTTCCTACACTGTCTAGGACTCACAGTTCTCTGTGAGGCTCTACATTATTATTTTGCCTGCTCTTAAAATTTCCATGAGAATCTCCCTTCTCTCTCTCTCTCTGGCCTTTTCTCTCTCTCTCAATACATACATACATACATACACACATACACACACATACACACAAACATACACACACACACACATATATATATACACATGCATACACACACGTATATATATATATATATATATATATACACACACACACACATGCACACACACACATACTGAAAATATACCCCCTCTCTCTGCACTCCTCACAGTGCATGGCACAGTAGTTAAATCTATAACTTTATTACTCAGAGAAGAGGATCTTTAAGCTTTAGAATGTTACTGTAATTTAAATAGTATTTTCTTTTATTCCTGAGAATAACCAATGATATATACACATTACCATGCCAGTCCCTCTTTTGCTGCTGAAGTCTAGTTTCTAAATATATTTCAGTACATTGCACTATTAACCATTCTTACTGTGAGAATGACCACATTATAATGTAAAAAGGCATCATCTTGCTTCTAGATATGAGAGTATTCCTGAAAATGTTTGGCAATGCATAATTCCAACATATGATATGTTCATGCCCCTACACCTACCACAGTTCTGTCACATACTCCTTGCCTATGTTTAAAACAACCGTGAAGTGATTTCACGAATGGGTGTAATATGTTTCTGCCATGAAAATAAGAAAGTGAAAACAAGAGGTCCCCAAATAGAACAGCCTTATGAATATATTATTGAATTAATGAGTATCTAAGAATGTGCAGGAAAAATTGCACCTGTGTTACCACTAAAAGCAATATTGGCAAGTGCTTGCTGAATGGTAATAAGTCCAGAGTTGTCTATGTAACCATAAATAGGCATTATATGATTCTCTAAATACAGAGAAGCCTAATACTAATTACACAAACCATGCCACCTGCAAGTTACTTATTTAGTGCCCTTCAATACAGCATGAGAAAACTTACAGCATCTGGGCCTGCATATTTTGATAATATCCTTGATGAGGAGGCATCTGATCAGGCCCTTTTTTGTTGCCTGACCTCGGGTAGTTTAAGTAACCATGCTGGCCTTTAGTATCCTCACTGGTAAAATGAGGCTTAGATTCCACCTGTGGTTTTCAAATAACCCTCTTTGGAGCTCTGTGGCTTCTGAGAATTCTTTAGAGGATTGACAAAAATAAAAGAAAGAAAAAAATAATGAATTTCAAGTATTTTCTTCCAAACATTAATATTTATATTGCCTTAGAAACCTGTTAATTGTTTTGAGCTTAAGTATCCCTTCCAGTTCTATAATTATAGAAATGAATCCACATAGGTATTGAGATAAAAGCTTTTACATATAAGATCTTTTCTGTAATAAAGTGAACTGGGCTTAATGCAAGGGTAGCAAGTTTATCTAAATAAAGAATTTTTGGATAACAGATTATTGTTGCTCATAGAACTTAAGGTTGATAATGTAATTCTTATAAGAAGTGACCTGTGTTTTGCCACATTTTGGTGAGGACATCATCTAGGTTCTAGAGAAAAGGTTATTCTCCTTGTATCACTAACATGCACAGTTACTAGCAGATTGTTAATCATAACAATTCAGTACACTCTCTAAACAAAGAATATTATAAAATATGTTTTATGCAGTGGGTTTCTTTTGTTGTAACAATGTGTCTGGTCTAAAAAGATGTCTGTACTTTGCATGAGGACTAGTTTTAACTGAAATCTTATCCTAACTATAACTTGTCTATGTATGGGTTTAAGGAGAGTACTCATATACCCTTTATTTGTAAAACATTTCTTTTTTCACTTATAAAATCATTTTCCTCTGATTCTGAAACCTATCCTGGCTTATAAAGTGTCTTTCTAAAGCTTCAAATTCCTCAAATAAGAAGTAGATTAGGAATAAAAAGAAAAGAACAGAAGAGGATTAAAATGTAATTTATGTTGGAAAAATGCAATAATTTCATCAGATGGCATTTTCAATCCCTTCAGTATGCTATGGATAACAGACAAGACCAGTGAAATTGGGTGAAATTATTATATGAATTTGTGTATTCAAATTTTATTCTGACTTAAATAAAGATAAATACTAGTTGGAGGCCGTAGAATTCTAAATGAGAGGTGTGTTTCAAAAAAAAACATATAAAATCTCTTAAAATTTTAAGATGTTATTATTCTTGGTATAAGAGAGCAACTAAAGTTTCCATATTATAGAAGTCAAGCCCTAAAATTCTAAAGTTCAGAACAGAGAAAACGAAGAAAGGGAATGAAAGACATCTGAGAAATAGTAGCAATATAAAAGGAAACAGATTTTGGAAAGTTACAATTGACTCATTTATGTAGATAGAAATAACATAAGTGATTGTCTTCTCTCTATATATGTGTGTATCTATATATAATATCATGCAATCTTGTTGACTGATTAATTTAAAATGGTGCTCTTACCACCATCATCATATATCAATAATTCATTATTGAACTCCCATGTTACTTGATTGGGTCATTTAAAGAAAAGTTTCTTGTTTGCATGAATAAAGTAAAGAGCTGATTAGTTAAAAAAAAACTGCATATTTTCAGACTCTTTCAAATGCATTTAAAAAAAAAATCCCATCATTTTATTTCAAGTATGGGCTGATGAGAAAAGAGCAACACCTGAGCATATCTTGGTAAAATGCTTGAATTCTAAGTATAAGGTGAACTACAGCTCTCATTCAAAACGACCAAGTTAAGTACACAGAAGAAAGCTCACATGCAACACTGGATGCAGGAAGATGGTAACCTAGCATTTAGAGATTACTGAGAGAGAACACTTCACTGTGAGAACTCTGAACACATCGAAGAGTCCACTGAGCTAAAAGGAAGAAAGTCATTTGAGGATTTGCAACAGTTCTACTGGTCTATCATTCACATACCCCAACAGGGGAAAATATTTGAAATTAAGACTCAAACCAACAAGGCCAACTAGATTATTACAGGACCAGTGTTACGCCTCTCTTGCTCTATGTTCACATCACCTACCAGTCTCATTCTTCATGACCTTTTCACAAAGCTCTTGGAGCACTAAAAGCTGGAGACTGTACAAGGAGATGAATGAGTATAACATGCCCTCTTCCCACTGCTACTCCCCAAGCTGTAATTTGTTCTAAGCCTGTGGGAGGAGAAGAGTTTTGTATTAGATTTGAAATGGCAATTATAAATTGGAAATAAGTGGGCTTCTTAAAACCTCAAATGCCTAAATTGAGACTCTTCTTATAGAAGAAGGAGTAGAAAACTATGTTATTTGTTCAAGCTGAAATTAAGAATAAGAAGGGGAGAATGACAGTTGTTAAGAAAAATAAAGCCAAGTCCTATTTGTATCACATTGAGTACAGACCATCCAGTAAGCCATTTGTACTTGTATTTTAAGGCATTGTTATATATGCATCCTTACATACACTACGTAGAAAGACTGGCGTGGAGTGAATGAGAAGGGAACAACAATAACAACAAAAATACTAAAGATGAGATAGAAGTTATATTTTTGGTACAATAGGGATTCTCTGAAGTTTCCTGGCTATCTAGTTTAAATATCATCTGGAAGAATCAATACATTTTTCATTGTAGCTTGCTGAGTTTCAAAGTAGTAAAATGAGATCACTTAATCAAGGAAGGGCAATTCAAAAAAAATGTTTTATGTTATTTAGCTCTTTAAAAAGTAAGAATTAGTTGCTAGAAGTTGAAGATACATTTCAGAAATACATAATTTTGTTAAAAAATCAGTTTCAAAATATGCTATACTCTGGAGGTGTTTCTTGGTGTATTTTAAAATGTTCACTGTGAAATAGAATCTTTGGCTGTGGGTCATCAATATTTTCAAGAGGCTAATCGAACTCTCTTTCTCTCTCTCTTCCTCTCCCCCTTCCACTTTCTCTCTTTGTCTCTGTCTCAGTAGATAAATTACCCTTGTTTGTATGGTGGTGGTCTTTGCCAGCAATTGATTTTCGTTGACCCTAGGAATATCACTTTCTGTTTGATCAGTGTTTCCTGCTCTATTGTTGCCACCATCCTTCCTTAAACACATTACTATCCAATCTGGTTTCCCATTTCCAGTAGCTCTCAAATAAGTCTTTATAATCTTTATCTTTTACATTTTAGAAATAGTTTTTCTGGTTCTTAAATTCTACTAGGTCAGTGGCTCATGTACCATACATTGCTAGAATTGTGCCTGGCATATATTTGGTGTCCAGAAATATTTGTTGTGTTAATTAGTATGATCTATTCACCTATTTCCAATTCTTATCTCAGATAAAAATTATAAACCTTACTTAACAGATTCTGATTACTGGGCACCTTTTCTGCTCAATCTCCAGTAATCATGAGTCTTTTTGAGTCACATTCATCTAAAAGCTATTTGCAGGTCAGTGTTGACATATGATTATTATGCCAACTGCTTCTTTTATCTGTCTTCCAAGTTATGTCAATCAATTAGCAATGATACAGTAGTCCTGGATTTCAATAATAATAATCATGATTCTTACTATTATTCTATTCTAAGAACTAATAAGAATTTTAGTTTTGTTCTAATAGATCTGTATTATCTATTACAACTTATCAGATAAGAAGAAATACTCCATAGATGATTACAGATGTCTTCCAAGAAAATCAGACTATTATCATAGTGCTATAGCACTATAGCAATACAGGAAATATTTCTGAGCAACTAATAATTACATAAATACATGTGGCTTTGTGCTTACTGCCATTAGCTACCACACTATTAGAATATGGTTAGTTACAAGAAAGAAAAGGGAATTAATTGGTTTTGAGATAGCAGTATGAGGGAACTCTTGACAACATTTTAACAACCACAACAATGAAGGAATGAAATCTGGATTATGGATTCTGCTTCCCTCTCTGCATTGAACTTTGTTTTTAAATTCTGTAACCAATCATTCTCTTGCTTGTAGGATATTATTGCTATAAATGTTGAACTCCTGCCGTCAGCCAGTCAAAATGTATCTGCCATCTCTCACCTTTTAGGTCTTGCCATTTATCAGTTACTTTTGCTGGCTGGTGGGGTTTAGTTGAATACATTGTTTTCCCTATATATTCACCTGCATAAAAGACTGATCAGCCAGGTGTGGCGGCTGATGCCTGTCATCCCAGCATTTTAGGAGGCTGAGGCTGGTGGGTCATCTGAGGTCAGGAGTTCAAGACCAGACTAGCCCACATGGCAAAAGCCCATCTCTACTAAAAATACAGAAATAAGCTGTGTGTGGTGGCATGCACCTGTAATCCCAGCTAAGGCAGGAGAATCACTTGAACCTGGGAGGAGAAGGTTGCAGTGAGCTGAGATCACACCACTGCATTCCAGCCTGGGTGAGAGAGTGAGACTCTGTCTCAAAAAGAAAAATAAAAAATAGACTGATCAAATTTTCACTTTTTCTCAAATTATAGCATCAATTTCAGGGACACATTTTTATATTTATCATCTTCTAAAACTTTATAACTTTTTTTTAGTGTATGAAAGTTTAGATCTATCTACTAGACTGAAAATTCTGCTTCCCTTTTCTATTTTTCCTTACATTTACTTACTTACCAGTATGATTGCTGTTAGTAATCAGTGACATTTTCCAATTTCAGAACTAGGATTACAGTGTTTGAAGAAGGGAGGCAAGAATATCCTCCATTTGCTTTTGCCATAAAGAAGAAAAAGGTTTTACTTTTCCTCCATAGTCAGGCTCTTGGTAGGTTTCCCAGATGTGTTACCAGTATCTCAAACTTGAAATGAGATAATACACCCTAATTCCCCCATTTCAAGAATCACAGCTATCACTAAGACACACATCCAACTAATGCAGGAAAGAAAGAAACTGGAATGATCTATATTTTTTCTCTCTTAAATTGACTTAAAATCTTATATATGAGTCTAGTAACAGTTACACACATACACACACACGTTTACATAAGTATATAAGTTATATATATATCTTTCCTTTAAATTATATAGACCTCTAGTGATAATCATTAAAGACTTAAGCCTGGCATGGCAAAATTTTTCAAGTTCTGTCAACTCTGCTAATATTGTAACGCTGTGCAGCATGCTGTGTTGGGAAGATTCTGGGCCATGATGGGCCAAGGTAGAAAAGAGAATCACAATCTCTTAACTATGTCAATAGGATAGTTATTGGAAGATGTAAAAAAGCAATCTATTTGTTATCCATGACCTAATCAAATTATCTGTGCAAAAACTCCTCCTTTCATCTTTTTAATGAAAGAATATATAAACACACAATGAGCAGAATTTCATGCAACACTTCATAATTTCTAATTATGAGACAATGTACTATGTTTCAGTCATGAGTTAATAATTAAGCATTAGTAAAACTTATTAATTCAATTGAATTGAAGGTGAGAATAAGCCAATTTAGGAAAATAAAACAGTGTTATCATTTTGAAGTAACATACTGAGAAGGATTAGAAATAGGAAAGTTGTATTCATGGTCCTAGGTAGTACTATTCACAAACTATGGTGTAAATGTTACCCCCTAGAGTTGCACAAGACACAACTCTCACAACCATATGTGGCAATCCTGGTGTCTGAACTATGAAAGAAAGAAATAGTATAAAATACAATAGTGGCAATACTTGCTTACCTCTTTATAGAATATAAAGAGAGGAGTGCATCAACATTATTGAAGCATATATTAGTTTAGGATTTTATATCCTGTTTCTCGTTACTCATCAAAAAATTTATTTTACAATTCTAACCTGTATTTTTAAGATAAATAATCAAATATAATGAAAACTTTAATACTTCACCTCCCAAAAGTACTAGAGATTTAAAATTAGCCATGTTCAAATTAAAGGTGTTTTATTGACCCTTGACACTCTATTTGTTTTGAAAAGACTATAGTGTGTCTGGGTGTGGTGGCTCACATCTGTAATCCCAGCACTTTGGGAGGCTGAGGCGGGTGGATCATGAGGTCAAGATTTCGAGACCAGCCTGACCAATGTGGTGAAACCTCATCTCTACTAAAAATACAAAAATTAGCTGGGCATGGTAACATGTGCCTGTAATCTCAGCTACTCGGGAGGCTGAGGCAGGAGAATCGCTTGAACCCAGGAGGTGGAGGTTGCAGTGAGCCGAGATCGTTCCATTGCATTCCAGCCTGGGCGACATAGCAAGACTCCATCTTAAAAAATAAATAAATAAATAAATAAATAAATAAATAAATAAATAAATAAATAAAAGACTACAGTGTGTGAATGGAGACCAACAGGCTGGAAATTTTCCCCAAGGCAATAATAATTCTTTTGTCTTCAGCAATCCACTTAAAATGCTGAAAGTGGGTTGTTTACCAGCATCCTAAAGCATTCAGACAGCTCACAAGGAGTTCTATGTTCTAAAGTTGGTTATCTTAGACAATTACAACCCTTGGACATACAGCAGGTTGAGTAAATTCTGGATAACATACAAGAGGTAGAAGAAGGTAAAAAGTCCTACCATGGAAAATTAATCCCTTTCGCAGAAGAACAAGATGTCAGTGGAATTCCAGAGTCTTGCCCTATATAAGCCTTCTTTGTTGTTCTAGCATGTCTCTTACTGCCTAGAATTCTTCATCTACAATGTTTGCAAATGTTAATGTATAGAAACTTTAGCATTTCTGTGGGCTTTAATATAAAATATCAAAAGAACCTTAGATCACCAAGTCATTTCATAGAATAAAAAAAATTGGCAGTTCATTTTTGCCCCTTGCGGTTCTCCCATTCTTTGCTTTCTGCTGATGCAAGCAAGGCAAATGGGATAAATTTATGACTTTCATTGATGGGAAAATTTACTAATAAAACATTGAGAGACATATCAGAATAGCCCTCATGACATTCATATTCTAGCACAGAAATCAAAGATAAGCAAGATGCACACACACACACACACACACACACACAGAGAGATATAAAACATCTGAAGGTGATAGGAGCTATGCGGAAAATAAGTGAAAAGGACTAAGGTATAATGGAACAATGAATTATAATGTTAAATAGAGTGGTTAGTGATACTACGTTCAAAATATAGTAAGACTGCATGATAGAAGGTAAAGGGGGCAGCTACTTTAGATTGTGTGGTTGGGGAAGAGTTTTCTACAAAGCTAACCTTTAAGCTGACAGCTGGATGCTAAGGAAACAGCCATGTCAACACTTTGGAGAATAATCTTCAAAGGTGCTTAATGAGCAGTGAGCCTGGACTGTTGAATGAACAAAAACCAGCATGTCTGAAGTGCAATGAATAAGAAGTTAGACATACAAGATGAAATCATAGAGGTAGGCATGGCCAGGTCACACCAGCCATGGTAATATTTTCATTCTTCATCTGAGTCTGTATATATGGTGCATCTTGACTGTGGGGTATTAGCCCCCAAATTTTACCTGGATAGCTATTTTATCCCCTGCACCACTCCTCATGCCTATAGGCAGCCATTCCATCATTCCATCAGTCAAACTATCAAGTAAATATTTATTGTGCTAGGCATGATGCTAAGATGGGGATACAGTGTTGGCCAAAGGAGATACTGCCAGCCAGCCCTATCCTCACACAGTATATATTTCAGTGGAGAGTATATAAATGAAATACTTACAAGAATCATTCTGTCTAGGAAGTGAGCAAGCGAGATGTATTACTGACATTTCTAATAGAGGAGTGTTAACTTAGCCTACAGAGTAGGATATACATATATGTATATATACATATGTGTGTAGATATACATATCAATTAATAACTATGCAGAAAATCATCCCTTGATATTTCTATTATATTTTCTACAATATATTTAAACCATCCATTAATATTCTGCTTTATAATTTTCTAAGTCCTTTCATATGCATTACCCCATTTAATATTCATCATAACTGTGATAGAGGCTGGTCAATGATAATTATCTTCATTTTAAAGATGAATAAACTGAAGCTTTGAGAATTTAAATGACTTGAAGTCATGTAGTATGTTAGTAATGTACAGTCCTAGTCTCATTTTTATACTATGTATGCTATCAGAGGTCTGGTCTGAACTAAATACAGTAAAATTCCTTACTCAATACAGCACTAGGCATTTAGTTTGGAGGCAAAAGGAAAATAAAACGTAGCATCCTCATTCTTAATAAATATGAGATCTAGTTAGGGAGATGTTCAGATGAGCATCAGATAATAAATTGTGCAGAAATTCAGTGTGCATATGAAGTTAAGAATAATCAGAACGGTCTGCAATTATTCTATAACCTTGCCTTGACAGAAATTAATTTTTAAACTGGACATATAAATAGATTATGTGACTAGATCTTGATGCTTTTAAATTCTTGAAATTCTCTGGTTTTATTTTTCTTTTCCCATTCTTAAAATCACTGCCAATCAATGAACCTTACCCACCATTTCCTCTTAGTTTATTGCTTATTTAGAAATCTGCAGTTTCTTCATTGTGCAGATCTATCTTAGCTGTGTGCTTTCTCTGTTGAAGACTCTGCCAGACGCTCCAGAAAACTGTACTCAGCATTCTCTTCTAATTGTCTTATTCCCAGCTCCAAGCCTGATGCCAAGATTTCTATTTGAATGACTTCTTCCTAGAATGCTAAATTGTCAATCTTTAGGAAAGCTTCATTCATTTAACCTTCCTCTATTTCTTAGAAAATCAGTAGAGAATTCTACCAGTATGCAACCCTGAATTTGTTGCCCTACTAAATAAACATTCTCTGTTGCCCTCACATGGTAGAGTGAGTTTATTTTTCCAATTTTTGTTTAAAGTCAACAGATGTCTGGCTTTACTAATATTGATGATTTTATATTATGTTTTATTATGAGGCAACACCTGGCATGCCATCACATGAAAATACATTGGATATGTTTAAATGATATCATTGTCTTATTTCAAATTATTACATATCTGATCTCTTTCCCTTTCCACTACACCAGGAAATAATTTCCCTATTAATTGTAAATTGCAAACGATAAACTTTCAAGTGATGGAGATGCAATAAAAAAGTATACAACTTCAATTATATATTTCTGTTTATAAACATGTCTTTTTCTTCATGACTATGAACCGATGCATGGCATGACACCAGCATGACAAACATTGCTATGGAACCATCACTATATGGCAACACGCCAGGTCCTGTGTTAAGTGGTTTTGGTATCCTATTTTATTTTTTAGCTTTGTATCGACCTGTGGATAGATCATTGGTTTGCAATATGAGTTTCCTTTTAAAAAGTCAGTGAAGATCAAAGGTGCATTTTAAAATAGAAGCTGATAAGAAACATCTTTGTAAAAAATGAAAGACACTTACAGGAACCAGGAATTTTTTAATCTCTTCCAATGCATGACTCATACGTGAATAAGCTTCCCCAGGTGGAGCAAACACTTCAATTAATACATGAAGCTCATCACTCAAGTGGGCATATTTGGCTTCCCCACTCTTCCTTAGTTCTTCTTCCTGTGAAAAAGGTTATTTTTAGAAATACAAATCCACTCATTTTACATTGATTTAACATTTACTGAGAATATGACAAAGGTGTATAATTTAAGCAAATTTTCCATAATTTGCTTCCATAATTTTCTCAAAGAAACCCTTTGAGAAATAAAAATCTGCTACAAGCCATTTAAAGATTTTAAAATCATTTTTGAGTGTTTGAATGATTTTAAAAACCGGCATAATTATCATCTACAACAGATTTTAATCAGCTAAATGAAAATGCTAAACCCCTGAAAATAAGTCACAGAATTGCCATTAACACTGTAGTCTACATGACTACATTCTGGAAGGGAAGAATTGTTTTGTGCTTGATGTTCAGCATTTTGCAGATGGTAAGTGAAAGATTATCACTGTGTTCTTTAAGAAAACTAAAACTTTCTAGCCACTTTTTGAGAAGTTAGGAAGGTTACTTGATTGTGATAAAAAGTAGGGTAACTATACAAGTCAAGGCTTATTTCCAAGTCTATGTTCTCACCAGCCCAGATTATCAGCAAGCCTTATACCCACAGCTTTTCTATCGCTTGCTGCCTTTATTTATTTATTTTGTCAACAGGGGAATATTAAAGGGTGGTTTAACATTTTGCTGGCATTGATTCTGCATGGGCTACGTAACTTCTGGTTAACCAATAATACTAGGTTGGTGGAAAAGCAATTGCCATTAATTGCTTTTAATGGCATTATTTTTAATGGCAAAAACCATAATTGCTTTTGCACCAACCTAATACATTTCTATTGGAAGAGACTTTTCCTAGTATTGTGCCCAAGCCATTATTGAAACCTGGTTAATTCAGTGCAGGTGTACAGCAAATCAATATGTGATCCATATATTTTGTTAATGTATACTAAGTATTTTATACATATCATCTCTAATCAAAATCATTTTGTACATATTCACATGTTTCAGATTATGAAACTGTGGTTAGAAGACTTAAATAGCTTCAGCCAATTCAGATCCAGACCCAGTTCATTTTGCAAGCAGATTTGCATTTTTTAGAATTTCAAGATGTAAAATGTGGCAGAAAAGTTAACATAAATAACATTAATTATGTTTTATCTTTCTTGTCCCTCACAGAAACAACCAGCAGCTACTTCACTAAATTTCAAAAAATAAAACTAAACATGTAATTCTTGGTTTTATGTAGAGATTAGAGACATGACATGAATAGACCTTACCTGGATTTAAAAAAGAACAAATTTGCTGTTGATGTCATGTGAGTTAACTGTATAACCCATGTTAATGTGAGTGTTTACTTGATTAGAAATGCTCATTGTTTTAAAAGATGAAGGATCCATGAAAGAGATGGGAAGGCATCCCTGCGTTCCTGTATATATACCCTTCACCTACTCAAATACTTCTGATAATAGCACCTTGCAGCCTGGAAATCCATTCTTCACTTCTCTAAGGATACTTTCAAACTCTACCTAGGACTTTTCAACTTGAGAGCTTTTCTTAGTGCCCAATTATCAGTTTGGGGAGGAGAGGCAACACTACACTGAATGAAAATACTCTCATGAGGTGTAGTAAAGATTTCTTTTCTCTTTGGGTCCTGCTAAGGTGCAAGCTGCTTGTTTATTCTGGGGCCAGCTGGTTTGGGCATACATGCTGAAATAATTAAATCAGAGATTTCTTGACACTGTCCCTTTCTATTACTTCCTATGTTGATTCCCATTCAGTTATTTTTGTGTTACCCTCTCCTTACACCTAGAATTTCCTAGGGAACTGAAATAATTTTCAACTCTATTAAGCAAAATAATATGGTCATTGAGTGACATTTCCTAGAGTGACATGACTAGCTCATTATGGAGCTCAATAAAATAAAGAAAACAGCAGTTAATTGACCCTACTCTCCTTGGAAGATCATCATTTGCTACTTGGGATGACCCTTCGGAATCACATCTTCCATAAGCAGTGTATCCAATAATTTTATAAACCCATACTGCTCTTTGTAGGAAGATTATTGTGCAGGAAAGTGATCTAAGTTGTCAAGTTAAGAATAGTAGCTACCTGCTTTTTGTATTTTTATGAAGAATATATCATAAATTGTTCATAATCTAATGTGGAACACATATTCCTCCTTTGTTCTACTCCAGGTGCTGGTATTTTGCCCTTCTAGATCCTCCTGTGAGGCATCACACCATCACCACCACCACCAGAAAAATAACTCCTGAAAGTTTAGAATGTTAGTGGGAAATAACTCTTATATTGCATTGATATGAAAAATTGTAGAAGTTTTATAGAAAATAAGTCTTATGTTGCCTGGTCAAAGCTGGCTACATTTGAATGGGTTTCTTTATAAAAATTTGTTTTAATAGACTTGTGATCTGAGGGATCAAAATTGATGCCCATTTATCAAACAAGATGGGCCTAAGGCTAAGGAAACAAAAGTTACTTAGGAGTCCAGTGTTCAGGACCCAGATGGCATGGCAAATTTCCAAATTCCTACCACTATAAGGAAAACTACACCTCAGCTAAACTTCTTAACAACAGAGCTCTCAGGCTGATTTACAGCCCAAACCACCACAACTCTGCAGGACAGAGGACTGACTTTACAAATATTCTTTTCTGATTAGCTATTGCAGAACTTAAGCCAGTTTCAGCCAGCTTATAGGGACTGCACACAAACTGTCTTTGTGTACTACAGTTCACCTTTTGACATAAAGAGCTGAATTCCATGTCATTTCAATGCTAAAACCTCACGTCAGAGTGAACATGGGATGTATGTTATACACATGTTTACCCACTGGGCATGCCCTCTCATAAATACATATAGCTTTTCCCCCAAAACATGCTGAATATGTATAATACAGGCCCTGTGAGGCATAAGACCTAACCTGTCATTCCCTTCTTTAAATAAAGAGCACCTTAGATCCACACTGGAGAGTTTCTCTTCTCAATTTGCAAGTTAATGCCAATAAAGCTCTCCTTTCTACTATTTAGCCATCCTGGTGGTCTTTCAAATGACAAAATGTATATCAAAAGATTACTGATTCAAAACTAGAGTTTGGTTTTTCTCTGTTAAAACAACAAAGTTTTCTTGGATTACTGGTCTGCCCTTAATAAGAAATTATAAAACTTTTTCTTTACCTGTTAAGTAATCTGCCTAGAAAACATTCTGTGTCTTATCAGAATAATTTCCTACGCTTTATGTTAACATTTATCACATCTTTAATTATTTATGAGAACCAAGTCCTCTCACTTAAAAAAAAAAAACTGAGTTTTTTTTTAATTTATTTGTTTGTTGTTGCTGTTTTTCTCTCTGCAAGTATGTTACCTCGTATACTTACTTTTGAAATCTTGTATTGTCACTTAAGTAAGTGGATAACTAAAGTATTGTTTCACAGTGACCTGTGATCCTATTTAATGCAGTGTTCAATCTTTTGACATTTTTGACAATTTGCAAAAATCAAATTCTAAATGAAGTCTGCTTGACCCCAAACCAACTTAGATTTTTCAGAGAGCCCCTGGAAAATCTCTAAGGATTCATGTTCTCTCACTTTGTAAAAAGAGAGATGTTAAACTAATTAGGTTCATTTGATATGTTAAAATGTATGGGAAGCATTGTCAAATAAGAAGAGTTACTTAAATTTCCTTATATTTGTATGGGTAGATTTTATTGTTTCAGAAATTTTATGAAGTTCCTAGGAATTGGTCAATAACCTTGATCTCCCTGATACGTCCTGGTATAATGTAGTCAGTCATAATTCTATGATTTAAATTCCATAAATTAAATATTGTATTCCACAGAAACCACCAAAATCCTTTGTCAACTGTGTTATAATGAATTCACGTCAGATATTTAACATAGCCATTTTAAGCTTTTTGTCATTCATAGGTAGTTACTATTAATACCAAACTAAGAAGCAAATGCTCCACTCAGATGTGGCTGATGACAACAGTGTCAAATTCTTGTGAATTATGTAATTTACCCTAGGTAATGTGATGAAGAAATAAAGTCACTGCAAATATATATATATATCTTACTCTGATGCTTTCCTGAAAGCTCTTGGAAGCAGCTACTGGATAGCATGCTTTGTCTTTACAAAACGGGATTCCCTCTGAGACCCACGGAAATGACTATAACAGGTACTCTGGGATGCAACCTTCTGATGTCATTATTTAAATACTTTTAAGAAAAGGGGCCGGGCGCGGTGGCTCACGCCTGTAATCTCAGCGCTTTGGGAGGCTGAGGAGGGCGGATCACGAGGTCAGGAGATCGAGACCATCCTGGCTAACACAGTGAAACCCCGTCTCTACTAAAAATACAAAAAATTAGCCGGGCGTGGTGGCGCATGCCTGTAATCCCAGCTACTCCGGAGGCTGAGGCGAGAGAATGGCATGAACCCGGAAGGTGGAGCTTCCAGTGAGCCGAGATGGTGCCACTGCACTCCAGCCTGGGCGACAGAGCCAAACTCTGTCTCAAAAAAAAAAAAAAAAAAGAACATACCACAAGACTGATTAAAGATTTTCAGAACTATAGTGGAGACACTGAGGAGTTCATAAGACCCCTCATAAAGTTAAGCAGAACAAGAAGTAATTATATGGGCCTCAGTAGACTAAGAAAGGGTGATTATAATTTGTTATGGCCTTTGTTTGAAACAGTACTGGTTCTTTAATGTCCTGTTTTCTGAATTTAAGGAACTCTTTTCTCTTTTCTCAAGCTATTTATACTTCATACCATTTGAATTGATGATACTTTTATAAACAGAAATGAAATATTTATCTTTTTCTCTTTGTCTAATTCCTTCAGAATTGGGAAACTCTTATTGAATATTCTTATTTTCATGGCAATACAGTTGCATAAGTCCAATAGGAATGGGAATCTGTTCTCAAAAAAAAAATTGGAAACTCGTTATATAACCATAGTTTGGACTGGAATGTCATATTTGAGAATTATGTGCATCAAATCAGATGTGATCAGGCAATTTTGAGTAATTAAAGTTTTTTTCATTTTCTTTCTTTCTTTCTTTCTTTCTTTCTTTCTTTCTTTTTTTTTTTTTTTTTTTTTATAGTGACTAAGTCTCACTATGTTGCCCAGGCTGGTCTCAGACTCCTGGGCTCAAGTGATCCCCTAACTCTGGCTCCCAGAGTGCTGGGATTATAAGCGTGAGCTACCACACATGGCCATAACTAAGACTGACTTTATGGAGCCACTGCTTACAAAGGCCTCTTGGGAAAACTGGCCTGATACTTAGATTACAGGGTTTCTAGCCTTTAAGATAAGTAACAAAGGTCACTTCTGGATGGGCTTAGGATACTTGGGATAGTCTGGGGACCTCGAGAAGAGAGGAATTCACCAAAATTTATAGGTACTGCAGGTGAAGTAGGGTGGTTGGTTCTTGGCTTGGTTTCATAGCATTGAGAAGGCTTTTAAAAGTCCAATCTGAGATTCCCTATGTTAATAAAAAACTCCAGCAGAGGAAACTTAAAAAGATCCATGTGGTCAGTTATCATTATTGCTTCACTTAGGTTATAATCAAGCCAAATCAAATGTAATCAGGACTTGTTTTGCAAACAAGAATAATTTTCCTTTGATTATCATTGATTAAAAATGAGGTGTACTGTAAAGACAAGGTTTATGTTTCAATGGAAAACTATAAACCACTCTTACGGGTTATTAGATTCTAATCTTTATTGTTTTTTAGCTACTTGCATCTCTTTGTAAACTGGGTCCTACCATCTTCTTAATTTTGTCATCAATTAACAGTTCCACTTTTTCTACCACCCTCCTCACTTGGAATCACTGAGAACTAAAACTGCCACTTTCCCAGAATCCTGTAACAAAAGCTTTCTGACTTCACATAAACACCAAAAGATTTATTGCTGAAACAGTTTGGGCCACTCAAAAATTTCACCAGAACACTTGCACCTTCCATGCTGTGCTCCAGAAAATAACCATGACTACAGCCATACCACTTCTGTTCTCACTTAAGATACTTAGAGCTCAACATCAAGAACTCTTCTCAGTGGGCTATACTATGAAGTTAAAAACTGGATTTATCCTATGCTTCAATCATTAATCTTTTTGTTTCCCTTTTACAGATATCATATTTTATAATTTTTAACCTGAAATTTCTCCCCAGAGCAATCAACCTAGCTTTTTTTGTGAAATTTCTAGCGAAGTTTCAGATGGGAAAAATGTGGAGACCCATTTGGAGCCCCAGGATTCACACAAATGTTATTTTAAAGTGAAAACAGTTGAGCTAAAGAAGCAGAAAAAAAATACGTTCTGAACATCCATAATCTTACTGAAACAGAGATTTACCAAAGTCAGCTACCACAACCCCTGACTCTGGAGTGGTCTCCAATCAGGGAGGCTCTGGACTTAGTCACTAGGACATTCCAAAATATTGTGTAAACAAGGCTTATCAGAACCATCCATTCATTAAAATCTGAAAACTTCCCTTCCCTAAAGTTTGGTATATAAACTTTATCTCTGGCTATTCAGTGAACTACTCAGTACTGAGCAACTGCCACATGACTGTGTAAGTAAATTTTGTCTTTTCCTCTGTTAATCTATTGTCTGTTAACTTGCAAGCCTCCAACTGGACCCAAGTTAGAATAGGAAGTGTTTCTGCCAACATTAAATATGCATATTCAGTTATAATTCATTTTAAGATAAAAAAACTACGCAATTAAAGTATGTACCACATTACATATTTGTTCTGCAATTATAAGCACAAACACAGGCTATGTAAATAAACAAACAATAGAAGGTTGTAATCCAAAAGACTATTGTGGTGCTCATAAAAAAATCAGGATAAGTAACCTTTTTGACAATAGCCTCTCCCACCTAGTCCCTCCTGTGGCTTGTTACCTTACTGGATAACGGTATGGGCAGTTGCATAGGTTCTGATTAGGATATTTCAACTTTAGGAGAATCAATAGCTGTATAAATATAATGCTTACTCTTTTTTGCCCTGAAATCAACCTTATGAATCTTTACAGTCTAAAGAGAAAGGTCCTAAAGACTGGAAACTTTTTAGTAATATGGGTTAGCCTCAACTGCCATGATTTTAAAGACCGAAATATTTTATTTATTTATTTATTTTACTTCTCTCTGTGTATTAAAACAAATATTTCAAAACTCAAATTTCAATATTTCAAATATCAACCTTTTCTGTAGAGATTCTTATATAGCCCAGGGTCCAGCAAGAGCCTTGACCAGAAGTTAAAAGCTGCCTTAGAACTACTAACTGTGGGAAACTGCAGCAAGTAGTTTGCTCTTGTGGCTCCCAGTTACTTCGTACGCAAAAGAAGAGGAGGTAACCCAAGAGGAAGTTTTCAAATGTTGTTATAGGGAGTCACAGGGTTTCCAGGAGACACTTCAGGGACCACCTTGGATCAAAATGATGATCCTTTCCTATGCATTCAATGACATCAGCTCAAGTTGGACCTCGTTATATGTAAAAATTTCAGGTGAGACGATAATGTTCTGCAAGTCCAATAAACCAAAAACAATAGGCAACATTAGACATGATGATGTCTCAGGTTTCTCACAGCTTCAGTAGTTTATGACTTAGCACGTGACTTCCCTTCACGGGCATCCTGATACTGAGAACTTCAGTATTAGAAAATACTACGATCCAAATACAGTGTCTTCTATGATACATGACCAGCAAAATTAAAAATAAATGACCGCTTTTATGTTATTATTTAAGCATCTACAGTAAAGACTTTCCTGCATATTTTATGTACATATGTAATTTAATGTTTATAGAACCATAGAAACATTGGGTGGATTTTGGAAGCACTAGAGTATAGTGGTTTAAAAAAAAAATGAATTTTGGAGTCAGATAAATCTAGATTTGAATTAATAGCTCTGATATTTATTATCTGTGATGTTTGAAGAAAGTTGTTTAATTTTTAAGCTTTAGCTTCTTAATCTGTAAAACAGGGAGACTGCGGACCTCTCATGAAAAGATGAAATGAGGTAACATACATAAATTGCAAGTACAGTGCCTGGCATACTATAAACACTCAAATAAGGTTAAAGTTTTTCTCTCAGAGAAGCTAAGTAACTTGGTTGTGGTTATTCAGTTAGTAAGGGGTTTGAAAATGGTCTGCCCTATGCCAAAGCCACACTTTTATGTTAATGAATGTTTATTCTGTACATTAAATTCACTTGAAATAATATAATTACAAAAGTTTCCAAATTAAATTTAAATAAAATTAAATGTTACTTTGGTATAAGGAAGAGTGTATCAGTTTGATATTGGTTTAGTTATTAAGTTAATTTAAATGTATAACTTTAAGGAAATGTATACTTGAAAATTATTCTAAACCAAAAAGCTCAAGTGTTTTAGAAAGATAAGGAAAAATAAACATCACTATATTTCTTAGTCTGGTCAGGCTGCTACTGCAAAATACCATAAACTGAGTGGCTTAATCAACAGACATTTATTTTTCATAGTTCTGAAGGTTGGGAAATCAAAATCAACATGCCGGCAGATTCCGTTCCTGGTGAGGGCTCTTTTCCTGGCTTGCAGAAAGGTCACCTTATTTTTGTATCCTCCCACACATGGCAGAAGAGAGAGGGCTCTGGCACCTCTTCTTACAAGGGTACTAATCCCACCATGGGGGACTCCACCCTTATGATCTCATCTAAACTTAATTACCCCCAAAGGCCCCACTTCCAAATACCATCATATCAGGGATCAAGGATTCAACATATGAATTTTGAGGGACACAAACATTTAGTCCACAGAATCATGTGTACTTTCTTGAATTTGTACCTTTCAAATAGACTGTAAGGTTATTATCTACAATATGTTACATGGATCACATAACATGGACCACATATCATGGCAATTAACAGTACAGTTTCTATTTCATGATGGCCAGAATTAAAAATTCCAGCTTTTCCACTTAATACTGTGTAAACTTGGGCAAGTGACTCCACTATTTCAGCCTTCGAATTCCTCACCTATAAAATGTGGGTAGTTATAACAGTAGTAACACAAGACCAAATCCAATATTACTCTTACTAAACAGTATTATAGGAAGTATCTTAGTTTTAATACAATATGCTAAATTATATATGAACCAAAAGAGTTAAACTTCTAAAATCCCAATTAATTTCACAGGAGTAGCTCTTCCAATGACAGGAATAAACCAAATAATAAAAAAGTTGAAAACACATGATATACTGTATATCCAAGTTTTGTACTTTTATTTTTGCTTTAGCAATTATTATTGCCATATTTTACCTCAGAGTTATAATTTACTAAAGTGCTTTTTGCAGGCTTTTTCTTCTTGATGCCCCAGGGAACTTTCTTTTAACATAAATCTTCTTCAGAAATAAATAAATCTATTGTCTGCACAGCTTTTACCATCAAGAAATTCAAATAAACACACATTTATTATTTATACCTTAGCCTGAATGGGATTGTTCTGAATCCCCAATTTAAAGACATTTTTAAATGGGCATATGTGGAAATTCTTTCCTGACAGAACAAATTAGTTGCCCCAAATTTACACACACAAAGGGTTTTTGTACAAATGGATGCATATAAGTGCATGATAGAGAAGCAATAGCTAGATCCTGAAGAGCACCTCTAACTCTTGTCACTTCACTTCCAAATGCCTGCTATCTTTGAATTAAATGTGGCAAGAATTCTTCCAGGATCAGGCCATCCATACTCCAAATGGTCATCTATGAGAAGGGAAATCTTCACAATTGCACATCCACACAATACTCACTAGATTCATGAAGGGCACAGAAAGTACTACAAGCATCAAAAGAACCAAGGGTGATATTTTAAAAAGTAGCCCAGGATTCTGAACACAGAGATGTGGTTAGTGCCAAACACAAGTGATTAGTGCCAAACACAAGTTTACTTATCTTGGGTTTGTAGTCTGTGGGTTTACTAGAGAATAGGAACATTAAATCATATACTCTAGGCTATATCAAGGATGGTTAATTCCTCAAATAATAAAAGGGTGTTGTCCAAACAGTGAAAGAGTGTCTTGATATAGTAAGAGCAGCTGTTTAATCAAGGAAAAGAAGGCAATTAATCTTGACCAAATGGAATCTACAGAAAAGTTGATAGGTCTTCACTCTGAATTAACATATGAGAGACTTGTTTTCCTACATTTCAGTTGCCTATTAATTAGTGTACTCACAAATACTTGTTTCATGGAACAGGGCAATATGGGAGTACACTTATCTCAATGATCTTCTCTTATCTTTTCTTTCTCAATTCCAACTGGATACAAATGGGCTTTCTTAGGGTTCAGTAGAAGAAACTGGTCTAGGACTACAGAGGTGCTTGGAAAACAGTGTTGGAATCTAATGACAAGACACAGAAAATGGGGAGTAGGTGCTGGGAAGAAACTGGCACTCAGAGATCTCTGGACTCGCAGAGGAAGTGCATGTAAGTGTACTAGTTCTCCCTGACCTCAAAAGCTGAGAAGAAACCAAGAAACTGGTTGAGTACACTTTGCCTTTGAGATTGGGAAAAATCAGAAAAACCAAAGAGCAAAGGTATCAGGGCATCACAGGCCCACAAGGGTGAGAATCACTTTGGTTTCCACTGTTTGAAGGATTCTAACACTATTGCATTTCAACAACCATATCTACACTAACAAATAAAAACAGCAACCAATACTAGCAGTCATAAAGAGGAAAAGCAGAAAGAACATTTGAACACATGCCATTTAAACACATGTCAACTGAATTGCTGGAAAAAAGATGAACGCTTGAATAAAAACATTTTTAAAAGAAGTTGAGGAGATGAAATTCAGACACAAAATGTATGGTGTTAAAAGACATGATTTACCATGTACAGACAAATACAAATTAAAAATCAGAGGCTAGATTCTCCCTGTTGAAAATAGATTTCCCCACTCTCCTTTTTCTCAGAGCATTTATGTTAGAAAACTTGTAATTATAAGTGCTTTCTCCTCCTTTTGAAATATATATAAACCCTTTTGGAGACTAGATAGGCCTTTTGTCAGGTTTATGACCTAGTAATATCTTTCCCAAGGGCTCAGGAAACCATCTCTTTAAAATGTAAACATCATTGGAGATAGCATCCCTGTCTCCCAGTTTCTGTCAAAGGATAGGAGCCTAACTTTGTGGATGTCTTGTTCCAAGTTGCAAAACTACTTCCTGTCATAAAGACACAAGAAGTTTGTTTGTTTTTCCTTTGGATAAAGCTAATTAGCTAATTCAGATGCTCACCCCAATTGCCAGGTAAGGTTAGGGTGAATTATGTTTGACAAATGGTGCTGTCACATTCTCTTACTTGGGCCTACTTATTGTTTTCCTTGAAAACACATATGTAATGGGTTGTATCTGCTTGGCTATAAAAAAATGTGAGATTTCTTTCTGTCTTTGCAATCTCTTAGTAGATTGCCTGTGATGTGCATCACATTCAGGTTTAATGCTCATTCACTAATAAAAGTGTTCACTTTCTCTGGAAAGAGGAGAGTTTTTCTGGGTTGGGAGAAGATTTTTGTTTTTAATTGTATTTCTTCATCACCCACTGAAACAAATGGTAACAGATGCTGTTGATACTCTGCTCATATCCCCCTGCCCTACTATCTCCATGCAATCAGCATTGATTTGTCTTTTTGCCTGAGGGCTTGCTCTGGCCTCTGGATAGCTCCACCTTAGCATAGAACAGGGAAGAAATCTGCTTTCCAAGTCTCAACTAGTGACTGGGGTGGGGTTGGGGAGGAATTGGTGTATAAATAGGCAAGGTTGTTCAACCCTTGCATGGGCTAACTTGTATGTTCTTTCTCAGAGTTCTGTGGTGGAATAAGCACCAGTTGCCCACAGTTTTAACTTGCTTGAGAATGCACCCTCTCTGGGTTCCATTCATTTTCTTATTTTACTTCCTCATGCCTCTACGTGGACCACCAGAGATCTTCCAAACAAACCTCACATAAGTAAATTTTGCCACAGTCCCTCTGCTGGGGGAACTCAATCCAAGGTAATTCAGTAGATTAAATTAAGAAGAAGATAGCTGAAATCAGATTTTTTGTCCAGAAAGTTTAAATGCAAAATAAAGCCATGAATTAACAAAGATGATGAAGGAAACATTAGGGAAGTGGAAGGTAGACCCAGGAAAGTTAATATGGCAATAATAATTTTTTAAAAATCTACTTATATAAATTCTACAAAGAGAGATAAGAAATAACAAAAATGAATAATGAATGTGATGATTACAATGGCTTATTTAATTCCACACTTAATTGGAAAGACTCACAGGGTATATCACATTAAAATCTCTGAACATGAAGTAAAACAAAAACAAACAAGAGCTCATACAAGCTTCTAGAAGTAGAACTACAAAGAAAAAAATCAACTGGCATTGAACTTCTCATCTATGAAAATTTGAATTTAGAAATAAGAAGAATAACATCTTCTGAACAGCAAGCTCTGTGCTGAGTACTTCACACACATAATTTTATTTTGTACTTCAGAAACAGTACCTAGCATTGGATAACCTTTTTTTTTTTTTTCCTTTTGAGACTTGGTCTGTCACCCTGTCACCAGGCTGGAGTGCAGTGGTGCGATCTCGGCTCACTGCAATCTCTGCCTCCTGGGTTCATGTGATTCTCCTGCCTCAACCTCCTGGGTAGCTGGGACTACAGGCACGCACCACCATGCCCAGTTAATTTTTTGTATTTTAGTACAGACAGGGTTTCACCATGTTGGCCAGGATGGTCTCAATCTCCTGATCTTGTGATCCATCCGCCTTGGCCTCCCAAAATGCTGGGATTACAGGCATGAGCCACTGCAACCAGCCTGATAACCCTTTTTTAGCATTGAGAACTACATGACTCCTGAGTTCCCAGGGCCGTGGATGATTATAGTATAATAAGGTGATGTGTCATCATTTTGACTTTTCCACTATAAAATATGATATTCTTCCAGGAAATACAACGTTTAGACCACCTGGAATTAAGTCCATTAAAAAATTTTCACTAATGCAAACAGAAAAAGCCTATTTCTAAGAAGTCTCAATAGCCTAAAATTAGTGAGAAATTAAAATGCTTGAGTGTATGCCAAATAAAGTAATAAGCAAATCAAAAGCTGTTTGTCAAGAACATCTTTGTAGATAGTATTTTGAAATCACTTTATGTAGCACGCTGAGTCTTAGGGTAGTTGGGTCCTGTTTTCTATTTCAAGAAGAGGAATCCTCATGAAGAAAAGGCTTAATGAAGTCTGAGACAGGCATGCTTTGAGTTTGGAATAGGGCCCAGGAAGAAAGATGGGTTGAAAAGAAACCTACGAAACCAATTAAGAAATGAAGTGAGCTGGGCAAGAGGATCTCAATAAAGTAATCTTCCCCCAGTAGATATTGCCAGAATCACTTCTGAGCCTTATGATGTTGAAAGGGTGAGTCGTCACTGCCAACCAATAATGGAAAAGCAAACACAAGTGAGTCTCAGTTGGCAGGGAGCAATAGGCCAAATGCCTCTTTTTGAAATAAATTTTCAAGGTGGAATATCAGTTTCCGGGAGGACATCTTGTTTGTGGAGGAGCCAGCAGCAGGATGCCAAGACAGCTCTGACCCAGGGCTCTGAATGGAGTGACTAAGCCAGAGAGGGGAAAACAAGTACAACACAACGAAAGACTACAAAGGCTGCTGAAGAAGGTCTTGCAGAATTGTATAGATGTTGCCCACTGGGAAGGCAATGGTTGCAGACTGATCAACATGGCCCTACACAATGTCATATGGAATGTTTTACTTTGGACAGATGCATTATGCTGTTCATCAGGCAAACGGACTGAGAAGTAAGCACCATTAGGACCTATAAAGTGGCTAACCACTTACTAGAATATAGCTGGTATCAGTGTGAAAGGGCATCCAAATTTACAGCATGTACTCAAAGTCAATAAATGCCAGGGGCAGAAAATATATACTGTTGCTACTTTTAGCTTTTGAAAATCAAACTTGATCATATTAGTTCCTGCTTACAAGTCTTGGCTAACATCTTGTTTACCTAAACTTCAACAATTTTATCCTGGCATTTCAGACTTTTAAAATTTGACACTGGTTTAGCTTACTTGTTCCATCTTCTGCCATCTCCTTTGTGAACACCATTTTTCAATCATAAGAAAATACTCACGTTTCTTAGAAATTACCATCCTCTTTTAAACCTCTATGCACATTTCTTCTTCTTGCAAGGTTCAGATTGAATATATTTAGCTAGACTCCACAGACTCAGCAATGCAGAAGTGATTGCTCCACAGTATCTTCCATGTAATATCTTCTAAATGATATTAGTTCTTAAATATTTGGTATTATGTTACTAATATCAATTGTATCCTGCCTCAGAATATTTGGCTCCATGGGACCATGGAGTATGTTTTTCTGTAGGGGTCTGATGTGTGTGTGTGTGTGTTTGTGCGCGCGTGCGCACGCTTATATGTGTAACCAGAGTGGGAACAGTATAGTTAACTGAGGCTTTTAAAATCATATATAAATGGTTAAGAACATGTATAATCTCTACACACATTTGTATTAATCATTTTAATCAAAGAAACAGCTTTCTGTTACCTGGAAAACAAGTATTTTCCAGGGGGAATGAAGGACACAGAAATTTGACCTCTTAAATATTGCAACGTCTTATCAAATGATCTTTTTCCCTTTCTATCCTTTATTTTTGTAAACTTAATGAATGCTCTACCAATACTGGAAAGTACACTCCTAGCACCAGAGATGCCTGCGAACCTGTAAGAGACGGCGTATATGGGAGGAAAGGTGTACTGGTGCCCTTCTGTAACTAAGCTTCAAGCGCAGTTGCTTACCAGGAAACTGATATGATATTGAGGCTGCTACAAAATTTCTCTTGGGCCCCGAAAAGCCCCTTTGCAGAATGTTTTCTCAAAGTCTGCAAAATTGATGTTTTTGGGAAAAGTGTAAAGGCAGAGTATGGGAGGAAGAGCAAAGGCCTGGATATAGGCTCCCCATAATACTTTATACTTGTTGGCACACATCTTATTTCATGTGGCCCAGAAAATATGTTTGCCAGGAGAGAAACTTTTCCCTACTAGCCATGACAGATGTTTTCTTCATAGTATCACCGAAAACCTTTCATCACCACCTACCTATATTTACATAGGGCTTAGACTCGCTCTTTCTTTACTCCAGGGCAGCAAGCATATTGAGATGCTACATAAACAGAAAGAAAAATAATAGCTTAAAATAAAAAGTATTTGTCCTATAGAACTGATAATTATAGAAGAGATATAAAAATATTAATAGAGTCTGCAAAGTTTTAATCCAATCTCTTCTGAGCATATCCCCCTCCCCACCACTGCTAGCCTCAAAAGCCAGCTTGCCTACAGCTATGGCAGTCAACAGTAATTAACATATCTGGAGAAATAAGATCATGGACAGGAGGGCTACAACTGCCCTCTACTCCTTCAGTCCCATAAAATCATATATATATATATATATATATATTTTTTTTTTTTGATGTGAGCTTATATATTTAGCTGCTTGCTCCTGGTGCTAACATTGCTATAGCTCTGAAAAGAAAAATGAATGTATATTGGCTATCCACAATGTCCTACAACAACACTAGGGATTTTCTCACCTATGAAGTTATTTAAACCTTGTAATAGGTTAATGTTATCTGCATTTTGACTCTTAAGGAAACAAAAGATTTTTTGACTATACCAGACTAAACTTTAGGAAATTGATTGACTCAAATATTCAGCTCAATGATAACTGTCAAACTCACACGTGATAATCATATTTTACCTCATATAACAAAATAGAAAGTAAAGTCAAGCCTGAGGCTGGATCCTGATCTACAGAGTATTTTGCTGTTTACCTCGCTGCCTGCTGCTCAAGGAACTGACTGGCAGGAATGCAGCTGTTATTGGTACACAAGAAACTCCCCTTAGTGAGCTAAATTTAAGGTGCCAAATAAATTACAATTTTCCTAATCTCAATGGTCTCAGGAATTCTAATAAAGCCTTAATTCTCAGGGAGGATTTCTGCAAGGAGGCGTAATCCAAGGATATGGTCACTTCAGTCTTATAGATTCAAAGACTCCCTTTGACCAGAATAGGCATTGGGATAGAACTCACCTCTAAAAGAATGTCTTTCAAGACCAGCATGAATTGACAGCAGATTACCTTTATTCCAGACTCAGACTGGTAAGAAGAAACTAATCATTTTCTTAAGAATCCTCTACCATTCCCCTTTTGAGACTGCCTACATCTGCCTGAAACATAAGGATCTGGAAAGATGGCCTTGATGGTTTTGCTCTAAACAGTCACTAACATAATGTTAATGTATTAATGTAATAAATATTTAAAATGCACCTTCTTGTGAAGACTCTGTGTTATGAGTTTTTGGGGGTGGTCTCTGACCTGAGAGAGCTCATTGTTTATACATAGAGAGATAAGGCAACTACATATAATAAATTCTGGTATGAGATAAAGGTCAGAAGAAAAGTTATGGGACGTTTATTCATGGGCTTATATACTCATTCAGCAAAGTTTACTGAGTAAGGATGCAAAATATTTATTGTAAGTGCAATAAAAGAAACAAAAGGAGTGGGAAGATCCTGGTAAAATGGTGTACTATTTGGACAGAGTGCGTGTGGGGTCTTCGTGGTGAGTAATGAGAAGGTGCTCACCTCCAAGGACCCCAGGGGCAAGTGGGTGAAGCAGTATTGCAGGCACAGAGGAGAAGGGAAAATATTCTAAGGGAGGCAGGAAAAAAATGGGCACGTCTGAGGAATAGAAAGAAAGCCCGCGTGGCTTGAGCATAGGGAATAGAATAGAAAATGGAAGCAAATAAGGTTTGAAGTAGAAGATGTAGACAACTATATAGGGCTTTGTAAGGCCACAATAAAGGGTTCATTTTTCCTGCGTTTGAACCCTTTATCATGGCCTACAAAGCACTATATTATGTATAATATATAGGGTATCTATATGTTGCTTATTAGGGGAGATGGGGACCTTGATCCTGAATTTTGCACATGTAGCTAAGTGTATCACAAAAGGTACAATTAATTGAGAAGAGTTGAATGGTAAGAAGTGTTCAATTGTCAAGTGATAAAATTGCTAATATATCAAAATATTAGAAAAACAAGACTTTATCCTAGAAGTGACTATTTTTGCTTTACTTTTTAACATATTTAATGTCTACTTTTCTAACATACAACGTATGATAGAAGAGGTATTGGCTCAGCTAGGCTTTGAAGAATGTCTGGGATTTAAAAATGAGCAGGGAGCAAGGAGCAAGTCAAGAAGAAGGAACATCAAGAATGTAATCTCACCTGCCTGTTTGCTTTGGGAAGTCCAGGGTTATAACACTGTTTTTGTCCAATAATTAATGGTACTTCCTTTCACTCTCAGAAGCCACTCAAAAGGCAGGCATGCAAGGGGTCCATGTGATCTCATGTGCAAAAGTCAGGGTGAGTCTGAATGTGGGGACTCTGTAGTTATAACTGAGGGATTGGACTTTAGTTATTTTAACTAAGAGTGGGGAAGGATATTGAAGATATATGAGGAGGGTAATTAGCACTATGTTTCAGAGAAAAAAAAATCAGATAGTAGTTTATAAAATGTATCTGTCCACTTTTAAGTTGATTCACCACTCTTCTCCCCACCAATTATCTATTTGTAAATAGATGCCTTAAATTTATGTCTTTTAAGTATTATCTTACAAGGATCTTTATCAGTTACTTAATTTTAAATGAAAAATTACTGTTTGTGAAAAATACATTTGTCTAGACTTCCATCAATGCATGCTAGCTTGAGAAACTTATAGATCATCTAATAACACTGGTGAAAAAGGAAAAGAGACAAAGAAATTGAACACAAGTATAACTACTTCTGGATCTATGACCTCATGACTGGCTATGTGAACTGTCCTTCGAAGACAACTTTTAAAAGCAATATCATATTTAATCTGTCTACAGGGCAAGTGTTAAAAATGTTTTAATACTTTATAAAAGGGTATCTGTGACTTGGAATGAAATCTCCAATTAGAGCATCACACAGAGTTTCAAAAAGTATTTACATGAAAATAATTTACATGAAAATGAAAATGATGTGCTAAGGAAAGCTTTTAAATGACTCAGAGATTAGCCAAATGAGATACTGATGTCAAGAGTTTGAAGACATTAAATACAAGAGACAAATAGAAAAATAAAACACTATTTAAATCTCTCTCTATCCAATTTAGTTAATATCATTAAGTGGATATTTGCTATTATATCTATATTCCTACATGTCTTGATAATCAAGTTTGCTAAATGTTTTTTTCTGGGCCTTTTTATTGGCAAATTGGGTATTCACTTTGCATTTTGGATTATGTTATATCAAGGAATGGTTAGTAGAGGGCAAAATGGAAATGTTCCTCCTCTGAAAAGGCAACTTTCTCCAGTTCAGGCACTCTGATTTATCATCATTTTCTCTAAATTGAATTAAGCCCAATTGAACTTTTTACTTTAACCTATTGCTCTTTTTGAGTCACATATAACTTTAATATCTTTTCATTGTGATAGCCTTTTAAATATTAAATAAACATACACACTCTCTTTTACCCCTCCTCCCCCCCTCACCCCCCCGAGATAGAGTCTTGCTCTGTCACCCAGGCTGGAGTGCAGTGGCATGATCTCGGCTCACTGCAACCTCTGCGCCCGAGTTTAAGCAATTCTCCTGCCTCAGCCTCTGGAGTAGCTGTGATTACAAGTGCCTGCCACTATGCCTGGCTAATTTTTGTATTTTTAGGAGAGACGGGGTTTCACCATGTTAGCCAGGCTGGTCTCAAACTCCTGACCTCGTGATCCGCCCACCTTGGCCTCCCAAAGTGCTGGGATTACAGGCATGAGCCGCCATGCCCAGCCCATCCACACATATTTTTAAACTAAAACATTTCCCATTATTTGTTTTCTGTGTTAAAGCATGTTTTGCACTTTTCACCATCCTGGACTCTCTAATTCTGATAAATTCTAGATTGTTAATATTCTTCTTAAAGTGTAGCTTTTAGCTGCCTACAAGTTTAAATGTATTATTTTGTCACAGGAAAGAGAAAATAACTATCACCCTATTGATTCTGAGTGCAAAGGTACATAAATACTTGATAAGATAGGATTGCCCCACACTTGACTCCTCTTTGACTTATAGTCAATGGAGACCTCTAGGATTGTCACATGTATTGCTGGATGCTCGTAAGTAGTATCACTGATATTCTGAAATTAGCTGTTAAAATTTTTAATTGAAATAACTAAATGCAACCCATTATTCAAGTTTAACTATACCAGTTTTTCCCAAACATCCCTCTCCAGGTCCCTTCTCTTGCAAATTCGGTAAGGGTGTGATTGTCATTGCCATCTAAGCCCACTGATAAAATGACCTTACCTAAATTTAGGACCTTCTTCTAATTTAACACCAATCCATGTAAATGAGCACTTTTAGGGTTTAACCAGCTATGGATCCTCCTAATCCTCAATAAAGCCCTTAAGGATATAGTGAGCAGCATCATATATACTGACTCTGGAGAATGTTCTCTCAAGGCCTTGTTCCCTACTAACTCCCAGCCCAGCTTACATGTTATTTTCCTAAGCTCCAATGACATTCTGTTGCCATTCTCCAAAGATCAATGACACGATTCTATAAGAAATGTACAGTACTACAGAAGAGAGAAATAACTACTGCACATTCAGAAAGAGTTAGATATTCCAAAATATGACTAAGAAAAATGCTTAGAACAAAGAAATTGGAGCCTAAAATCAACTGGAATTAACCGGCCTGGTTTACTAATGTTCTCTAAAGTTTGGAGATACAGCAATTGTAATTAATTTTAAACCTGAATTATAGGTATAAATTAACATTACATAATTTACTTATTGTGCACACAGTGGTACTGGAAATAAAATACATTTACTTTTAAATACATTTAGTTAAATGAAGAACCTGAATGAGGGAGACTTACTGAAAACTTCAGAGTAGTCTCAAAAGCCATGAGTAAAATAAAAAATCTTTAATGCAGTTTAATTAAGGCAATTTTAAAGAGTGAGAAGAAATTGAATTAATTCACTGAACAACTATTTCAATCAACCATCTTGTAATCATACTTCATTGACAACATTTTACTCATACTATAATAAGTTGCTATTTCTTACACTCCTGAAAAATTCAGTCAAAGGTGTCTGGAAGACATTTGATTCCCTCTAGCAAAATGAGATTTTCATTTTGTCATAATATCTACATTTTGGTTTTAATTAATACTCAATCTCTACCTTATGAACAAAATGAAATGGGCCAAACATGCCAAATTTCATAGGATTTCTTTCCCAGAATGGAAAACACGTTTTCTTCTTTATCTTTATTTTTGGAGGTCACTTTAAACCAAAATACGTAGATACGAGTTCCAGAAAACATTGTTTTATTCTTTCTTTCTGGCATATATTTTTAGTATATTTTTTGTGTTTGTTTTCTCCTTTGTCCTTCTGCTTTCCAAATTCATGCCAATAATTAAAAAGGTCACCTTGGCTAGAAATAAAAGGAAATAAAAACTTTGATCCATTTGAAGTAATCTGCAAAACTCCACGACAAAATGGCTTTCTGCTTCTCTTGACCTTTCCTGCTTCAAACATTGACCTTGAAGTCATACAAAATACTGCCTGTTCATCTAAGTATAACTTTATCCTGTATATAAACATATACATATCACACATATACACAAATATATGTACACATATATTTCAAACTATATTTAATAAGCTTTAGGCTTAGCTATATTTCTAAAATTTGTGTTTTCTTTGCCTACATTTTCTCATTTATTTTGTTTTGAGACTTGTTATCTTTATGTACTTACAAGCTGACTAAAATTCTTTCTTGCATTAAGGCAAACTATAAATCAATTTGAAAATATTCAGTAATTGGGAGGAAAGAAACAAAACTACACTTATAAATTGACCTAACAAATGACCTGACTCATTTACATTAGGGTAAAAATTTGTTCACCAATTTCCAACCTCCAACCCAAATAAAAGCATCCTCGAGTGATTTTATTTAAATGCTCAGAGAAATGCTAACTTTTCTTTCTGTATTAGCAAACAAGCATTCCTGTAAATAAAAATTCTAATCAAGGTTTGCATAGTTACTGAAATGGATATTTATTATGTTATGTACGTATGGAGAACAATTTCTATAAATTTGTACCTGATCAAGCATCATTATCATGAGTAATAACGCTGATATAACTTAAAGTTGTTTTCAGTATACTTCTTTCCTTTATATACTGTGGCACACTTTGGGTATACCAAAAACACATCCTTTGGATGTGTTATGGCACATACCTTTGGATTTTGTGGATCCAAAGCTATGATCCTTCTTAAATTTCAAAAATAGTTTCTACAGTGCTTAAAAGTACAAATATTTTTAATATCCAACAATTTGCATAAATTTCACTCTACCAACTTAAATCAGATAAAAAATTATTAGACCAGGTGAGTTTTGGTAATAATAGCACAAAATGAATTTTAAAGCCAGAGAAAAGCTGTTAAATTATGAAAAGGCATCTTTGTCTTTTATAGTTTTTTCTTCCATCAAACTCACTGTAATGAGTTTGAGTTTTTATTTGATAAAAAACATTGTATTAATAACATAAAATATATTAGAGCATCATTATTAAAATCAGAAACAAAATTAAAGTTAGAATATTAGATATCTTATGGTGAAAATCAGTACACATTAAAGTTATTTTCCCACTACTATAATAGCAAAACAAAAACTATTATACTGTATTCTCATCTTAAGATCCTTAACTTAATTACATCTGCAAGTCTCTGTTATCATATCAGATAATGTCTTTACAGTTTCCAGGATTAGGATGATATGGACATCTTTAGGGGGCCCTCATACAGACTACCACAATTGTGTGAGTGTGTGTGTGTGTGTGTATGCACATGCACACATGTGTTTGCTGGATCATGACATAAAACATGCTTCCTATAGTGAGTTCTGGTTTAAAAAGATCTGAAATACTCATTTAGATCCAGTGATAGGCAGATATGCAGAAGAACTTATACCATTTCCCAAGTTATACTGCCTGGTAAATGTCACTAATTGATCTCAATTTTTTTTCCTGCTAAACTCAAATGTAACCTCAGAATCCTTCTCAACACAGAGTCTAACAAAATATTAGTTGATTGGATTTGGAATGTAAGTTTTTCACTTTTTACTGTCTCTCCTAATTGCATTATTGTTGAAAGAATAAGCAACAATGAGATCTACAATTAAACTGAAAATTTGATATTTGTCAAACAAGTGATAGGAAAGTGAGAAAAAAATATCAAATTAAGCACCTTAAAGATTCGTAAGAGTTAAATCAGTGTTCTTGTAAGTGGTCAATGTAGGCTTTACAGATGTCCAGTAAAAGGGTGTAGGGAATCAGAGAAAAAGATGCCGGAGGTTTCAGCTCTGGGAAGACTCACTGCAGAAAGTGGCACTTGGCAAGATTTATACAGGTGGGCAGGAAGGTAGAGCACTTCAGCAGAGAGGCGGTCTCATGAGGTTCTTCCAGAGTAGCTGTGCTGCATGACCTCAGTCAGCATCACATGTTCAAAATATTTTGAATTTTCAAACAATTCAAAATTGGAAAAGTATGGTCCTTCAATAGCAAAAATAAAAACAAAGTTGGCTATTATGAAAAATTAGTACTATTAAATCAGTCAAAAATTCAGCAGAAATATGTTTAGTTGACATACAAATAGTTCAAAAGAAAAATTAAGAACAGGAAGGTGCTGTTAAAGTAACACAAAGTGACTTTGACAAGAGTCACCATTTGTGCTTGAGCAATAATGTGTGGTGTTTGAGAAGCAGCCCTTCCTGGCCTCATTCAGACATTATTGGAATAGCTTCTTACGTTCTGGTCACCTTACTTGAGGACAATTTAAATAATTAGTGAAATGTAAAACAGATAAGCAATTTAAGAGCAAAGTCCTTAAAGAATATGCAAATTAGGTTTTAGCCTAATTAGTGGAGTTAATGGGTCAGTAGTCTCAGGGTTAAAGTTTAAAAACCATCAACTATACAGAGTTTCATCAAACAAAGAAGGTAACACACTATTATCTATGAATAGAATATTAAGTAAGTTTATTTTGTGGGTGTATGACGTAAAATTGAAATCCTTACAATCATTCATTTTTTTTTTTTTACATATTGGTGCTCTTCTTACTGTGACACTACATTAAAACATGGAATATATTGGAAAAATGAAAAATATTTTTCAAAATAACAGATACTTTTAAGAAGAATAGGATAAAATTGCTAACTTGAAACTGCCCAGGGTGGAAAAAAATTACAGAAAACCAAGACAACAAAGTGATACTTACCATGTCCATATTCTTAATAACATTATTATTTTAACAGCTGGTAAATATATTCACTTTTCAATGTTAATGCAAGTCATTCATAGACTCTGCTGGTATTACTTCTAGAATTTGTTGAATATGAACAGACGAATTTGGTCTTTCCATGAAATACCACACAGAGAGTCTGCAAACATTAATGATACATACAGAAGTTGAACCAAAATGACACTCAGGTGAACAAATCTCAGAGGTGAAAAGTTATTGAATTTTTGTTTCAATTTTCTTTGTGCTTACTACTGACACATCTATTTCATCTTTAGGTTGAAAAGAAGAGGATTATCTTGCATGGCTTTTACTGAAAGAAGGTTATTTGAGAAATTATTTTCAAGAAGCAAGTGAACTTGCAAAGTAGATCAAAGGGAAAATTAAATTTTAGCGTTATGACACTGTACTCACTTTAGCTGAAGCATAGAAAGTGTAATGTTCCCTAATATCTGTAAAGCTTTTACTGAATAGTTAGAGCACCTTTTTTGATTACCTTGAGTAATCAGAAAGTGCACACATTTGAAACCATTCAATTTTGACATTTTAAGCTTCCTTTATGGGCATTAAGAAGCATAATCACCACAGTGATTAAAAAAAAAAATTCCACCAAAGGTGTTTGATATTCCTGGGTTTCTAAAATTTCCTATTACTAAGAATAAATCATGAATGAAGTAAGATGATAATATTGGATAAGTGCTTTTCTCAGTACATTGCTATTGCTTGAAATAATAAAATAAAAATGAAGGTTTATTTATTTATTATATATCTGTGCATCAGCTAGTATTGGGATACTTTTCTGATAAAAATATATTTTCAAATGTGTTCATTAAACATCATAAATGTCTTTTCTATCATTTTTGCTATCTGTAACAATTTCTATATTAATAATAGTTATAAAATTATTTAATTTTCTCTTTTATACCCACATCTCTCTAAATAACAGCATTTAACCTTTTAAATACTATATTACTCTTTTTAAAAATAAATTGTTTATCTGAAGATTTCAATCGTAATGTAGAATAGAGCAATGTAAAAATCATTATAATTATTTTAAAATGTCAGTGACTCAATAAAAATTACAAAGAAGGTAATATAAATGGCATTATCATGAAAGTCTCATCTATTGCATGTTCTTTTTCTATAATTACATTTTAGTCACAAATGTCATAACACAAAGATAAAATATAGTATAGGTTAAATTTCTTATAATTTAATTTTCTTAATTATTTTCATTATTGTTATATCCTACATGTTAAGTTAAAATATGAGATTCTATAACAGAATTTTAAAATAATAACATGCAATTTAGAAAACTGAGACAATTAAAATTTCATAATTCTTCCATTTTATCAAACCATTCTGAGGATTTGGTAATACTATTAATTCATATGTAAAAATTTCATAGTTAAACCTAATGTATATAAAATCTAATCCCTTTTCTTTTTGGCAAAATTATACTTTTTTTTCCAACTGATTATCTAACTCATTTTTCTTTGCAGGTAAACATACTTCCAATTCAGACAATATTCCTTATCTTTCTTAATAACACTGTCTCCAAGTCATGGGTTTCTAGTCCCAGCTGAGGTGGGAGGATGACTTGAGCCTGGGAGGTCAAGGCTGCAGTGAGCTACTATTGCACCACTGTACTTCAGCTTGGGTGACAAAGTGAGACCCTGTCTTTCAAAAAAGTAAAGTAAAATAAAATAAAATAAAATAAAATAACATTTGTACCCACATAGATGGATATTATATTTTAGGACAAAATCATTTATTCAACTAAAATGTAATTCTTGTTAGCTAAACTCTCAAGTTATTTCTTGAGAGGAGAACATCTTTCAACTTCATGATTGAGCAACAAGAAGAGTTAACTATCCTAAATATGTATGCTCCCAATATAGGAGCACCCAGATTCATAAAGCAAGTCCTTAGAGACCTACAAAGAGACTTAGACTCCACACAATAATGATGACAGACTTTAAAACTCCACTGTCAATATCAGACAGATCAAAGAGACAGAAGGTTAAAAAGGATATCCAGGACTTGAACTCAGCTCTGCACCAAGCAGACCTAATAGACATCTACAGAACTCTCTACCCAAAATCAACAGAATATACATTCTTCTCAGCACCACATCACACTTATTCCAAAATGGACCACACAGTTGGAAGTAAAGCACTCCTCAGCAAATGTAAAAGATCAGAAATCACAACAAACTCTCTCTCAGACCACAGTGCAATCAAATTAGAACTCAGGATTAAAACCACACAACTACATGGAAACCAAACAACTTGCTTCTGAATGACTATTGGGTAAATAACAAAATGAAGGCAGAAATACAGATGTTCTTTGAAACCAATGAGAACAAAGACACAACGTACCAGAATCTCTGGGACACATTTAAAGCAGTATGTAGAGGGAAATTTATAGCACTAAATGCCCACAAGGTAAAGCAGGAAAGATCTAAAATTGACACCCTAACATCAGAATTAAAGGAACTAGAGAAGCAAGAGCAAACAAATTCAAAAGCTAGCAGAAGGCAAGAAATAATTAAGATTAGAGCAGAACTGAAGGAAATAGAGACACGAAAAATCCTTCAAAAAATCCATGAATCCAGGAGCTGTTTCTTTTTTGAAAAGATCAGCAAAATAGACCACTAGCAAGACTAGTAAAGAAGAAAAGAGAGAGGAATCAAATAGACGCAACAAAAAATGATAAAAGGGATA